>NC_000017.11:2006262-2157777 GCF_000001405.40 Homo sapiens
TTCTCAAGCTTCAGCCTCCCAAGTAGCTGGGATTACAGGCGCGCGCCACCACACCCAGCTAATTTTTTTGTATTTTTAGTAGAGACTGGGTTTCTCCATTGTTGGCCAGGCTGGTCTCCGACTCCTGACCTCAGGCAGTCTGCCCACCTCAGCCTCCCAAAGTGCTGGGATTACAGGCGTAAGCCACTGCAACCAGTTGGGTTTTTTTGAGACAGGGTTTTGTTCAGTCACCCAGGCTGGGGTGCAGTGGTGCAATCATGGTTCACCGTAGCCTTGACCTACCAGGCTCAAGTGACCCTCCCGCCTCAGCCTCCCAAAGTGCTGGGATCATAGGCATGAGCCACCACGCCTGGCCAAATTTGTTTTGTTTTGTTTTGAGACAGTCTCTCGCTTTGTTGCCCAGGCTGGAGTGCAGTCGCACGATCTCAGCTCACTGCAACTTCCGCCTCCCGGCTTCAAGTGATTCTTGTCCCTCGGCCTCCTGAGTAGCTAGGATTACAGGCACATGCCATGATGCCTGGCTAATTTTTGCATTTATTTTTTTTAGTAGAGACGGGGTTTCGCCATGTTGGCTGGTCTTGAACTCCTGGCCTCAAACGATCCTCCTGCCTCAGCCTCCCAAAGTCCGGGGATTACAGGCATAAGCCACTGTGCCCGGCCTTTTCTTTTTTTTAATGTGTGCTCAGCGGAGCAGAGGTACAGGAAGAGGTTGGCGATGGGGTCCTGGAAAGATGAAGGGTGTGTTACCCACCGTGCTCTACGGAACACATTGGCTGACCATTTCCAGTGCCGTATGATGCTGGGCAAGCTGCTGCAGCTCTCTGAGCTTCAATTTTCTCAGCTATAAGGTCCCTTCTGGTGCCGCAGTTGAAAGTCTACAAATACATCAAAATCACACAAATCCCCTGGCCCAAATCAGAAGCAAGGGGTACGCCTTTCCTCATACTCCAGCCACAGTTTTCTGATGCCACAAGCCACCCAGATCCCAAAGAAAACAAATGCCTCTGTACACCTTCCTCCTCTGGATCACCCACAGTCGGCTGCACTGCAGACCTAGGCCATGTTCACAGCCCCAACACACACACACACACACACACACACACACACACACACTCTTCCTCTCCAAATAATTGGATGATAGTAATTCAAGTCCCGTCTGGCTGCTTGGGGTGGTGCCAATGGATGTCGCCGACCTCTTGCTCTGGCCTTCACCCAGCCAGCTCCCTGTGAAGGCCTTGGCCTCTCATTCTGCTCCCCTGCCTCTGCTCAGAAACTCACAAAGTGGGTAGGCCAGGCTGCCAGATGCTGGCTGTGGCATGGTCTCTAACAGTGGTCTTGCCAACCTGAGGGTGCTGGCAAATCCTACAATGGAACATTTTGCAGCCGTTAAAACTGAGGCTTGGCTGGGCACAGTGGCTCACGCCTGTAATCCCAGCACTTTGGGAGGCCAAGGCGGTCAGACCATGAGGTCAGGAGTTCGAAACCAGCCTGGCCAGGGTGGTGAAACCCCGTCTCTACTAAAAATACAAAAGAATTAGCCAGGCATGGTGGCACGCGCCTGTAATCCCAGCTACTCAGGAGGCTGAGGCAGGAGAATCGCTTGACCCTGGAAGGAGGAGGCTGCAGTGAGCCGAGATTGCGCCCCTGCACTCCAGCCTGGGTGACAGAGCAAGACTCCGTCTCAAAAAAAACCCAAAAAAATAAACAACAACAAAAAGCTGAGGCTTAGGCCAGGCATGGTGGCTCATGCCTGTAATCCCAGCACTTTGGGAGGCCGAGGCGGGCGGATCACCTGAGGTCAGGAGTTCGCGACCAGCCTTGACATGGAGAAACCCCGTCTCTACTAAAAATACAAAATTATCCGGCTGTGGTGGTGCATGCCTGTAATTCCAGCTACTCGGGAGGCTGAGGCAGGAGAATCACTTGAACCCGGGAGGCAGAGGTTGCGGTGAGCCGAGATTGCGCCATTGCAATTCAGCCTGGGCAACAAGGGCTAGACTCCATCTCAAAAAAAAAAAAAAGACCACCCCAAACTGAGGCTTAGAATTACAAACATAATGAAAAATAAAACAAAATTTTGACACATTAAAAAAAAGGAATTACCAACATAGAAAGGTGTTTGAGAAATACTGTTAATTAAACGAGACGGGTGCATCTGCGTGAACGTAGGAAGGAAGCGTAGCCGGATTATGAAATGCACGAACACCCTGGGAGGGGTGAGCTTTCCCACACTTTGCTCTTTGGGCTGTGGGGTTGTAGTGATTTTCTTCTTTTTGCCAATCTGTAGGTTTCCAATCTGTGTTTGCTCCCTGGGTATGCATTTGGGAAGTTCAAAAAAATTCTGTGGCTGTTGAGTCAACCAACCTCCTCCTCCCTGGTTCTTGAGGCTTTGCAACAGTTGGGCTCCCACCAATCCGCCCTACCACTAACTGATCTGCCACCGATCCGTGGCACGAACAGTGACTGTGGCCTAAGCACGGGTTGTCGCGTTGCTCTCCAGCCTTTCCAACCTTCCTGTCAAGCCTCTCTTCCTCTCACAAAGCCTCCCAGGTGCACCTGGGAGCAGGTACCTCACCTCCAGCCGCCTTCCCCCTGGCTTGAAAGTGCCTTCCTTATCACCTACACCATCCTTTCACTTATCCAGGGTGTGGCTTCTCTCTCCTAGCAGGTTGTAAATTTCCTGGGCCTGCAGACTGAGCCTCAGCCCAGGGTTTACTCACTCCCACCCTGCCTGGAACACAGTGAGAGTTCATTCAGGAAATGACTACAAGGCACAGGGGCTCTGGTCTGGCTGGAACTGATGGTGTAAATGGGGAGAAAAGGGTGATGTATCAATGAGACAGGGACTGAAAAAGACAAGGCTGTGCCCAGAACTAAGTTCTATGTTGTATGCTGTGGAGTAAAAGGGCAGGGTTCGCCGGGCTTGGTGGCTCACACCTGTAATCCCAGCACTTTGGGAGGCCGAGGCAGGTGGATCACCTGAGGTCAGGAGTTCAAGACCAGCCTGGTCAACAAGGGGAAACCCTGTCTCTACTAAAAGTACAAACATTGGCCAAGTGCGGTGGCTTACGCCTGTAATCCCAGCACTTTGGGAGCCTGAGGTGGGCAGATCATGAGGTCAGGAGTTTGAGACCAGCCTGGCCAACATGGTGAATCCCATCTCTACTAAAAACACAAAAATTAGCTGGGCGTGGTGGTGTGTGCCTGTAATCTCAGCTACTCGAGAGGCTGAGGTAGGAGAATTGCTTGAAGCCAGGAGGTGGAGGTTGCAATGAGCCGAGATCACGCCACTGCACTCCAGCCTGGGCGACAGAGCAAGACTCCGTCTCAAAAAAAAAAAAAAAAGGCAGGATTCATGGGAATCAATCTCTGACCTTATACTCAAACTGCAGCCTGGGCCACATAAACAGCTGAGAAAGAGAGGCATCTGACCCCGATGTAAAGGGGGATCCCCAGATCGGCCACTTCTCCTCCTGCCCGCTGCCATAGCTGTTGCCTTGGTCCCTGAACCCCTGGCCAAGTGGCTGATGGACTTGGGACTGACCGCAAGTTCTGGTACTCTCCAAAGGAATCTCAAACCACTCCACAGGCCACAACACAGAATGCCGGCCCTGTCCACAGCCCCAGCCACGGAGACAGCCAGGTACTGTAGCAAGCACATGCCTGACGCAGGGCCTTTGCACCTGCTATTGTTCCTTCTGCCAGGAGAGCCCTCCCCAGGGAGAAGCAGCTCTAATGTCTGCAGCGCCCTCCCTCACTCCCTCACTTCGCTTAGGCCTCTGTTCGAATGTCCGTCTATCAGAAAGACTTCTCTGCCAATCTCCTAAAATAACCGCTCTCTGGTCACCCTCTGTTCTTCAACTGTTAATTTTCTTCAAAGCACTTACCCCACCTGATAGAATATAGTTGTTTAGCCAGGCGCGGTAGCTCACGCCTATAATCCCAGCACTTTGGGAGGCCGATGTGGGTAGATCACTTGAGGCCAGGAGTTCAAGACCAGCCTGGCCTACATGGTGAAACCCCATCTCTTCTAAAAATAAAAAAATAATAATAAAAAATAAAAAACTAGCCAGGCACGATGGCAGGCGTCTGTAATCCCAGCTACTCAGGAGGCTGAGGCACGAGAATCGCTTGAACCCAGGAGACGGAGATTGCAGTGAGCCAAGATCTTGCCACTGCACTCCAACCTGGGCTAGCGAGCAAGACTCTGTCTCAATATATATATAGTTGTTTATTGTCTATTTCTCCACCCCAACTAGAATGTAAGCTCCAAAAAAAACAGGAAACTTGGAATTTATTTATTTATTTAGAGATGGGGTCTTGCTCTGCCACCCAGGCTGGATGGAGTGCAGTGGTGTGATCACAACTCATTGCAGCCACGGTCTCCTGGGCTCAAGCAATCCTCCCACCTCAGCCTCCCAAATAGCTGGGACTACAGGCACACACCATCATGCCTGGCTAATTAAAAAACAAACAAACAAACAAACAAACAAACAAAGCACTTTGTAGAGATGAAGTCTCACTATGTTTCCCAGACTGGTCTTGAAATCCTGGGTTCGAGTGATCCTCCCACCTCGGCCTCCCTAAGTGTTGGGATCACAGGTGTGAGCCACCATGCTCGGTGCCTTGGATTTTATTCATCGCTTCACCCTCAGTGCCAAACCAGCAGTAGGCAGGCAGTTCATCGTTGTTAAATAAACGTTTGTCGGCCGGGCGCGGTAGCTCACACCTGTAATCCCAGCACTTTGGGAGGCCAAGGCAGGCGGATCACCTGAGGTCTGGAGTTTGAGACCAGCCTGACCAACATGGAGAAACCCCGTCTCTACTAAAAATACAAAATTGGCCGGGCGTGATGGCGCATGCCTGTAATCCCAGCTACTCGGGAGGCTGAGGCAGGAGAATGGCTTGAACCTGGGAGGCGGAGGTTGCTGTGAGCCAAGATCGCGCCATTGCACTCCAGCCTGGGCAACAAGAGTGAAACTCCATCTCAAAAAAATAAAATGAAATGAAATAAAAATAAACGTTTGTCAAATGGAGACAGCCCTCCATACCCCTCCTGGCTGACAAGATAAAAGGTGACCGCTCATCCATGGATAAAGAACTGGTCGGTGATCATGGTCTGTAACACGGTCCGACAGGAGTCATGACACGGCTGGCTCCACTGGGCTCTTCCTTCTGGGAAAGCCAGGAATTGGAGGCACCTAGCTGTGGGAGGGGAAGATGAAAGGCCGTGCTGGAGAGCAAGGGGTGGGTCCATGGCTTTGGATGTGGGGCAAGAGGAGGAGCTGGCGGGGTGGAGGGAGAGGCCAGGGCAGAGAGGCCAGGAGAGGGACCACGGAGGGCTGTACATTCTGGAGCTCCTCCCTTGCCTGGAGGCTTTGGGAGTCCAGGTCACTCATCTCCTTGCAATAATCCCCCATTTCCAATGAGCTCCCATGAATCTCTGCAATCAGAATTGGCCATGAAAGCAGAAATACCAGCCCATCAGGGGCAGTGGGCCAATTAGGTAAGATGATCATTGCCACAATCTCAAGGCAGCCCCGGGGCTAACTGCCACCCCACGAGTCACGTGTGAGTGGTAAAATGTCCCCTTTGGCTGGTGCATTCTCTTGAGCATAGCCCAAGAAGTTCCCGAGCCTCTTTCCCTCGGCCCCTCCTCGCTTGGGGAGATTCTTTTTAAACCGCAGGCCTGAGCAACGCCCCTGGAGCCCTCCCTGGGAGGAGAGGAAGCAGTTCAAAGTAACGAGTCAATTTCACAGATGGGAGCCAAGACAAAAGAGGCAGCGTCTTCTCACCCCAGGCACCACCCGAGCTCAGCTTCCTCTGGCAATTTTAGCATGTTTGGTCCGGCCTCATTTAGACATTTCAGATCTCTGAAGCCCAGAGAGTGTCCATGAGAGGTTTCCGTTTGCCACGGAGTCGATAGTACAAATTTTGTTCCAAACACATCTGCCAAGTACAACCCTAAACTTTTCCAAGCGAGAGGTTATTTTCCTAACACAGCGCCTGCTCTGCTGGGCATCCTCTGTGGTCCAGAAGGCCAGTCTTTCCGTGCCTGCTGGCTTCCTGGAGCCACAAGGAACACAGCTGGGCTGCGGTGAGGCGGCCCTAAGGCCCTGCCCAAGCTACTGAGCCCCTCAGAGCCTCGGTATCCTCATCTGTAACTTGGGACTAATGAGACGTGCGTTTTCTGCTTTTAATGAGGCATTGCACAGGGAAAAGTGCGTGGTGTAGGACTCTTCTCTGCATCCTCCTCACTAAAAATTCCCCATTTCCTCCTGGTTCCTGGTACTGTTTCTATTTTTTTCTTTCTCTTTTTCTCCTTCTCTCTCTGTTTTTTTTTTAAGCCCTAGATCACGATTTAATTTCTCTTATGGTTACAGAACAATATAAATATTAGGTTTTGGTACTAAGTTTCTTGTGGTCCAACCTATGTACAATCATTCAATCAACATTTATTAGCCAATCAACTCAAGTCTACTGATCCAGCACTTTTTACCTAATGTCACTATGTGCTATGTTCTTCTTCTTCTTCTTTTTTTTTTTTCTGAGTTGGAGTCTCGCTCTGTCACCCAGGCTGGAGTGAAGTGGCATGATCTCGGCTCACCGCAACTTCCACCTCCTGTGTTCAAGCAATTCTCCTGCCTCAGCCTCCCAAGTAGCTGGAATTATAGGCACACGCCACCATGCCCAACTAAATTTTGTATTTTTAGCACAGACAGGATTTCATCATGTTGACCAGGCTAGTCTCGAACTCATGACCTCAGGTGATCCGCCCTCCTCGGCCTCCCAAAGTGCTGGGATTACAGGTGTGAGCCACTGCGCCCGGCCTGCTATGTTCTATTTTGTGCAGGATGCTGTTTTAGTGGGGTCCTGATAGGAAAGAGCATTTTCAGATTGAGTAATTTGATGAATAAAGAAGAAGAGAGAAGTGAGGGGGACAGGGAAGCCCTAAGAGATAATGTCATAACCACCCCCAACACATACAGACCCCCAGGGCTAAGTGAGGGGGAGCTCTTACTGAACTCACAGGTAGAAAGAGCTGCCAGGAGGGCTAGTGGCAGGGGCTGTGTAGCAGATACTGCGAGGGCCTGCCCACAGCCCTGGCTTTGACCATTTCGGCACACCAGCCTGACTTCCAGCTGCAAAGACTTGCATTTCTTTGCCTCAGGGCTTTCTCTAGCAGCGGAGCTGGCTTTGCTCACCTACAGAGCAGGCCAACTGTGCTGGGAATGAATACCACCACAGGAACAAGACTCAGCCAGTGACCGGTGGGTGCTGGAACATAAATACCCCTGCTCCCTCACCCTGGAACATAAATACCCCAGCTCCCTCACCCTGGAACATAAATACCCCAGCTCCCTCACCCTGGAACATAAATACCCCAGCTCTCTCACCCTGGAACATAAATACCCCAGCTGTCTCACCCTGGAACATAAATACGCCAGCTCCCTCACCCTGGAACATAAATACCCCAGCTCCCTCACCCTGGAACATAAATACCCCAGCTCCCTCACCCTGGAACATAAATACCCCAGCTCCCTCACCCTGGAACATAAATACCCCAGCTCCCTCACCCTGGAACATAAATACCCCAGCTCTCTCACCCTTGGGGTTTGATAGCTTTGAGGTGCGGGTTCTAGACTGCATCCCAAAGCTGTGCAGCAGGGTTAAGCTCTGGTACCCACAGTGGTAATTACTTGACCCAGTGAGTCCCTGACTGGCTTCTCCCCTACTCTGTTTCAACCTCTCACTCAGTTCCTGGCATTTCCTTGGATCATTTCCCAAATAAACTACTTGCTTGAATTTTTGAAACTCAGGCTGTGCTTCTGGGAAAATCTTTCAGTAACCTTTTGGGAGGGACACCCAGTGCCCATGGGGACTCACCCTTGGCCAACCCAGCTGGAAGTGGGAGGGTGTGGAAGCCCACTGTTGAACTTGGACAGGCCAACCCTGGAGGACACAGAGCAGCATGAGGGATCTGGAGGGGCACAGGGTGGAGAAGTTGCAGTCTCCTCATGGAACTCACCAACTGGCGGGGAAGACAGATCACATAAAAGTATTATCATCGCAACAAGGAAGGCTGAGTACCATGACAGGGATGTGCAGAGCCCCACAGAGCTCTCAGGACCCCCCACTCTCCCCATTCAAGGCATGGAGGGACCTTCCCCAGAAGATGTGTATAAGTTGAGACCTGAGGATGGGAGTGCAGGGGAAGCAGCCACGGAGTGTTCTAGGCAGAATGAGCTGCTTGAGCAAATCCTTCAAGACAAAAGAACATGATTCAGGCTGGGCACGGTGGCTCATGCCTGTAATCCCAGAGCTTTGGGAGGCCGACGCAGGCAGATCACCTGAGGTCAGGAGTTCGAGACCAGCCTGGCCAACATGGCAAAACCTTGTCTCTACTAAAAATACAAAAATTAGCCGGGTGTGGTGGTGTGCACCTGTAATCCCAGCTACTCGGGAGGCTGAGGCAGGAGAATCGCTTGAATCTGGGAGACAGAGGTTGCAGTGAGCTGAGATTGCGCCACTGCACTCCAGCCTGGACGACAGGGAAGGACTCCATCTCAAAGGAAAAAAAAAAAAAGAACATGATTCAATTGAATCCAAAGAAGTTCGGTAGACCTGGAGCTCAGAGTTCAAAGCAGTGGGGAGAAAGAAGGCCAGAGCTGTGGTGGGGCCAGGGGGAAGGACATGGCAGGCCATTCCCTGATGAAAAAGGGAATCGCTGAAGGGTTCTAAGAAGAGAGAGACAAGGGCACAGGGCACTGTGGAATCCGGCCGCTGTGTAAGGCCTGGTTTCAGCAAAGGCAAGACAGGAGGCTGCTGGGAGGGTCAGGAGATGATGGTGGCCTGGGCTCAGGTGGAGGCACAGCAGGCAGTGGCGGAGGAGGTGCAAAGGGCATCATGGGAGAAGGGCAGGGCTTCGCGAGGCACGGAGGGTGTGGGAAGGGCAGGGGTCAGCTCTTGGGCTGGGGGTGGCTGGAGAGCAATGGTGCCAGATGCCATGATGGGGAAATTGCGGAAGAGGCAATTTCAGACACGCCGGGTTTGAGAGGCCTTTGAGGCCACCAATGAGGGCACTGGGGGTCGGTGGGCAGGTGGCTCTGGACATCAGAGGCTGGAGACGGGATATCTGGGGAGTCAGTCAATGGCCGGCCACTGCAGCCACGGCCGTGCTGAAAGCCCCCAGAGCCAAGCATGGCGCTGCCCGGGGAGGTGCCACATTGGAGAGGTGGCAAGAGGAGGGAAGCTGGCCAAGACGGCCGAGAGGGGCAGCCGCAGAACCATGGAGGCTGCCATCAGGGAAGCCGGGGAAGCAGGACGGCCAACAGGGCCGATGCCCCAGAAGGTCAAGGAGATAAGGAAAAGGTCTGTCGGGTTTAGTGTCAAGCCAGAGCAGTGACTGTGGATGCCAGGGAAAAAGCAGGGTCTGGCTTGAGGAGTGAGAGGTGAGAATAAGGAGTCTCCAAGTGTGGACAACCCCTTCCTTGATCCGGGCAGAGAGAGCCGAGCGGCCGCAAGGGGTCCGAAAGGAGGGGATGCAACACCCCATCAGCCGCAGGTGACAGAACTCAAACCCCTCGCCCTGTGGACAGCGGACAGTCCTCCTTGTTAACAGGCAACGCTCAGCACACCCAGTGGCTTCCTATATCCTGCTAGGAGGGACCACAGGGGACTCCAGAGCCTCCAAGCTGGAGGGGCGGCCAGGGTGGCACCGAGGCCAAGGGAGGAAGCCCTTCCCCCTGGGTCTGGCTCTGATCATGGCCCCCCTGCCCTGGGCTCTGACATTAGGTACCATTTGAAGAAACTCCTGCTATTGAAAAACCTTTGAAGGCCGGGCGCGGTGGCTCATGCCTGTAATCCCAGCACTTTGGGAGGCCGAGTTGGGAGGATCACCTGAGGTTAGGAGTTCAAGACCAGCCTGGCCAACATAGTGAAACCCCGTTTCTACTAAAAATACAAAAATTAGCCAGTTGTGGTGGCAGGTGCCTGTAATCCCAGCTACTTGGGAGGCTGAGGCAGGAGAATCACTTGAACCCAGGAGGCAGAATTTGCAGTGAGCCAAGATCACACCACTGCACTCCAGCCTGGGTGACACAGCAAGACTCCATCTCAAAAACAAAAACAAAAAACAAAAAAAAACTTTGAAAGACCATTGATCTAGTCATATTACAGATGGGTAAACTGAGGCCCAGAGATGAGGAGACATGTCTGGGGTTCTACTGAGTCCGCCCCAGAGCTGACCGAACACAGCCCCAGGGTGCCAGCTCCGTTGGTCTTTCCACAGCCCCACAGTTCCTGGAAAGGAAAGGGCCGTGACAAGGGCAAAGCCAGGGTTGCATACAGGGCTGCGGTGAGAGACGGAGTCTGGCAGCGTGTGATGAGAGACAGAGAGACGCAGCGTGTGGCATGCGGCACATGCCAGCGACAGGCGGCAGCAGGCGGGCAGGCGGGAGGCCGGGCTGCAGCGCCAGAGCATAGCCATTGTCCCCAGCGTCCGGCCTGCCCAGGTGCCCCTCACTGGCCATCAAGTGACCTCCCTCGGCCCTGCCTCCCCTGAGGCTGGCCAGCTGTAGACCCCAGGCCCACCTCCACACGTGCTCCTTCCTTCTCCCAGCTTGCTCAGACAAGCCCATGAATAGAACATTAAAGGCAAAACCTTCTAAAAGGAAAAGCAGCTCCCTGGTAGGAGTCACCCCACTAAATGTCAAATGCAGAGCAAGGCTTCTTGCCTTGTGCGCTTCTCACTCATGGAGTCACCTTAGCCTCCATATCCCCATCATCCTATCGCCGTATAAATAAATCATGGTCAGAAGAATGCCAATTTCCCCCCAGGGCCTCATGAATCTCTCAACATAAGCATATGTAAAGGCCCCCTTCACTGCGTGCTGGTCCTGGTGCCCAGAAAGAGATAGCAAATCCTGTGGGGATGATTTTGGAGGCAGAAGCAAACTTTCTACCACCTCAGTGGGCTGAAAGTTGGGAGCCCAGCTTTTGTCCTGATTTGGGAAAGACCCTTGCTCACGTAGTTGTCACCATGATGCCACTACCCTCTGGAATCAACTCAGTGAGCTGCCAAGTGGCCCATCGCTGGGGGCTGCAGTGGTCTGTCCCCTGGCAGACATGTCACGAGTCGTGCCCACCCACCCCCTGTGAGGGCGAGCCACACACCCACTCAGCAAGTGTTGTTCCTGACATGTGGCACACACAGCGCTGGCCTGCCCACTCCTGGGAGCCCCTGCCCCCACTGACTGGCTCACCATCGTGCCACGGCACCGAGCCCTGCCAGTGGACCAATGGTGTGGGTGCCAGCAGAGGCTCTGGTGCACTAGGGTGTCCTGCTCTGCAACAGTGACCTCTGCCACACACACTACAGGGAGCCTGTTGCATGCTTTGCCAGGTGTGTTTCTGTACATACACACACACACACACACACACACGCACACACACTATGGTACCAACTCTTTTGCTGTGCCAGCACAGAGGTCTCCAGAGCGACTCTCCTGAATCAGATAGCAGGGGCTGTTTGCAGTTTCGTTTCCACGCTTCGCTGACTGGTTAGACAGTGATCACAGGTTCGGAAGCACGAGCCTCACCACAGCGGAGGAGGCCTCCACTCTGAAGCGGGATTCCACGCTCCTGCACCCTAAGATCAGCTAGACTCTCTGCCTTGTTTCATCTTCTTTCTTTTCCTAAAGAATCACGGGGAGAACTGACCTCTCTGGGACTCAACCGTGGCTGGAAGGGGACAGGAGAAGCCCTTTCTGGAGGACAGCTGAGCCCTGCAGCTGCCATCCTGCCTGGCAGGCTAGGGCTGGGCTGCGGGAAGGCCCCCCAGGAGGTAGGGAGCACTACAAGGCAAGAGGGGCAGGTATAGGTGGTGGAGCCAGTGTGTTCCGGGGCTGTGCTAGCAAGTCCATCAGGTCACCCTGGAGGGAAGCCAGGGAGAGCAAACCATGGGGAGGGCTGAGATCCCAAGCAGAGCACAGCCCCCCAATAATCCATGGCCCTGGGCCCTCCTCAGGGGCGTGAAAGCAGGCAGGAGGGTTCCTGGCCCACTGTCCCATCTCTGTCCCCAAGGAAGAAACCAGGGCAGGAGACAGAGGTGAGGACTGTGTCTTCCAGACACCGGGGGAGAGGGAGTAGGAGAGGACATATGAGACAGCAGCTCAGGCCCCAGGAGTCCCAGATCCCAGCCAGAGAGGCTCCTGAGGAACCGCAGAGGGGAGTGCATAGGAACCACCAGCAAGCTCTGCGAGAAGCCAGAAATGAATCAGCAGCGCCCAGCGCCCCACAAAACAAATGTCAGAGAAATCAAGACAGATGGGCACGTGAGACAGTGGAGCACAGAGGTCCAGAGGGCAAGGGAGACGGTGGGCTTGACAGACAGAGCGGGGGCTGCATCCTGACTCAGCAGTGCGCCGGCTGGGTGGCCCAGGGAAAGGGACTCCAGCTAGCTATGCCTCAGTTTCCTCATCTGACACGGAGGAATGAGCACAGACGGATCCTGCAGGGTGGGGGTGGAGGTGGCATGAGATAAGGCGTGGAGCACACTCAGTGAGGCTGTAACAAGTGCTCAGTAAACACAAGCGGCTATTGGCAGCATGTGGACAGTGACGGGCAGGTGGGGAAGAGCAGGTTATTGCCTGCTGCCTGTTTCCAGCTAGCATCCATGTCTCCTCCCAGCAGGCTTGGCTGGGCATGCTCTGTGAAGCCCGAGGTGGCTGGGACTCATTCTAGTGATGGACACCAAGTCAGCGGGCTCCTCTCTCCAGTTCCTCGACATCCCTGGAGGCCCCTCTGCTCCTGCAGCCCTAGCCTTGGAGCTGATGGTTCCCTCAGTCTTCTCCAGGCCTTGGGGGGGGCCCTCACGCTAGGGTCCCTTCCCAACTCCTCTCTCTGTCTCATTTCTGCCCAGGGAGGTCCGGCCACTGCACCCCGAGGAAAGGGCTGCTTTCGGCACTCTGCGTGGAGGTCCTGGCTTCTGCCGTCCCTGGAGGCTCCGTTCCCGTTTCGCCAGCTATTTTGCTGCCTCGGCCATCTGTTCCCTCCCTGTCATCTCCTCTCTGCTTTAACCTTAACCACTACTTCACTGCAGATGGTACCAGGCAGTTCTGCTCTCGACATCCTTCACGACGCCTGGCCCTCCTTCTCATCTCCAGCAAGTGAACCGCTCTGTCCTTTTTAAAGCCTCATCCCAAAGACACGGCCAGAGCTTGGAGTTGGATTCGCCCCACACAACTCCCCCTCTTTGATGCCATCTGCTTTCAACTCCACCACTGGCCAGGGGCAAACACCTACCCCTTCCCCTGCCTTTTCCTCCTGAGACTTCTTCTCAAACTCGGCCAAGAAGCTCTCCTGGCATGGACAGCGTGTCTGCTCCGGGTCTCTACCTGGTCTCCATCAACAGAGCCATGTAACCGCCCAGAGGGCTCCAGGTCCGCAAGCTGAGGCGGAGGCCAGAAACTCTGAAGTTCACTCCTACTGTGGAGGAACGAGGGCTCGTGCTGGGAGTTTGGGTCATGAACAGTTTCCCTGTAGAAAATGGACCTGAACACTCTGCAGTAAGGAATTGTTTCCCATGCTGGCATGGTGGGAACCGAACCAAAACACATTTTCTATGTTGTCTGAGCTCACAGGGAACATCCCTCTGCTGTCCTTGCTGTTATTCTGGCATGCTGGTGAGAAAATGCATGCATGGGCTTTACTTAGCAACTCGCTCTGCCTCTCCTCTCTGTCAGGGCGCTCCCCTAAAATCTCTCCTCTTGACGTCTTTTTTCTGGCATAAGGACCCGGAGCTTTGAGGAGCGCAGCAGCCCAGAAGCTCCTAAGGAGAGAAGCTGTTTTGGTGAGATTGGTTCCACCAGGCTACATGCCTTGACTGGGACAGAAATGGGCTGGGAAGGCCGAAATTTGACTTCTGCACCTGGATTTGGGCTAAAAAGTCTCACAGCTCAGCCTCCTTGATAAGGGTTCTTCTATCTCCCCTCTATACTTCCTCTGCAGCAGAAAAGAGTATCTTGGCCGTGCAGGGAACGCTCTTCTCTCACTCTCGCCACTGGGGTTAAGGGCAGCTACATTACTATAGCTCCAAGTCTTGGTTGCCCCCAGAGAGAGGCAGAGATGTAGCCTGCCCACATCTGGACACTTGAAGACTCTCCAAACACCTAGAGGAGCTGTGGATTCAAGTGAAGCAACCATCTGATGCCACCACGGTCCCTCCTTCCCTTTGCCTTCCCTTCTTCCCACAAAAGAGAAGCCCAAATCCGCCACCAGACCAGCCCATCTGCCCGTGGAAACCAAGGGAACCAAATGCATCGTACTGGGTTGCAGGCCTTAATCTAGCTCTCGCTGAATTATTCAGGGATGGCATTAACTTATAAATGAGTGTGTTTGACTGATTTTGTGGTTGATGTACAGATAAAGTCTAATGAAAGACAGTTATAAGATTTTAAATTATTAATTAGACTGCCACTTAACAAAGCCTATTTGGCACTCTATTTTCTTGCTTAACAAGACAAAAACTTTAAGGAAAGGTTCTGTATTAGCCCAGAGGCTCTGGATTTGCATTCTGTTTTCATAGCTCTACACAGGAAAGCCACGGGTCCCGACCTTAAGTAGAGGCCACTTCTGGCAAAGCAAACCCCCCAGCGGGCCGCCCTTCCTTCCTGGATGTTGCCGGGTGGCTTGGGGCCTCGCTTGCCCTGCTGCCTCTCACCTCTTAACCAGAGGCTTGCTTTTAATATCCCTGGTTTTGCCGGCTAGGCCACGAGATGGAGAAGCAGGGAGGGCAGCTGCTGAAGCCTTCAGCTACCAGCACTGTCAGCAGCTTGGTCCCACTGGGGTTGTTCTAGTTCACAGAGGTGGGGCTGTGGCCAGTAGAGTCCTTTCATTAAGAGATGCAAGGCAGTCCCCCTCAGTCCTCCCAAAATGTCATGCCAGGGGACAGCTTTACTAGGACAACCAGGAATCAGAGAGATGATCCTTATGGCCCAAGGTGTGCTCCGCCTTCCTCCTCCTCTGGGGCTTCATACCACTGCACCCCTCACTGCATAGGGCACCCCATTATCAAGACCATGAGCCCTGCCCTTTGCAGAAAGATGAGGGGTTTTTTCTCTTCCCTCCTTCCCACAGGATCTAGGGAGGGCTACCCTTTCTTCATCTTTCAAACCCTTTTCAGAATCATAATTAAATTATTACACTCCCTCAGGTCCAGGACCCCACATAGGGCTCTGCATATTATAGGCAAGAAAACAGCAAGAACTATTTAAACACATCCTATACCTTTTTTTTTTTTTTTTTTTTTGAGACAGAGTCTCGCATCTTCTCCTGGGCTGGAGTGCAGTGGTGCGATCTTGGCTCACTGTAACCTCCGCCTCCCGGGTTCAAGCAATTCTCCTGCCTCAACTTCCCAAGGAGCTGGGATTACAGGCATGAACCAGCACGCCCGGCTAATTTTTGTATTTTTAGTAGAGACGGGGTTTCACCATGTTGGCCAGGCTGGTCTCGAACTCCTGACCTCCGGTGATCCTCCCAACTCGGCCTCCCAAAGTGCTGGGATTACAGGTGTGAGCCACTGTGCCCGGTCTTTTTTTTTTTTTTTTTTTTTTTAAATAGGGTCTGGCTTTGTCCCCCAGGCTGGAGGGCAGTTGTACAATCTCGGCCCACTGCAGCCCCCACCTCTCAGACTCAAGTGATCCTCCCACCTCAGCCTCTCAAGTAGCTGGGACCACCAGTGTATGCCACTGCAAATTTTTTAAAATTTTGGCCGGGTGCAGTGACTCACACCTGTAATCCCAGCACTTCAGGAGGCCGAGGTGGGCAGATCACTTGAGACCAGGAGTTTGAGACCAGCCTGGCCAACATGGCAAAACCCCATCTCTACTAAAAATACAAAAAATGAGTCAAGCATGGTGGCGTGCACCTGTAGTCCTAGCTACTTGGGAGGCTGAGGCAGGAGAATTGCTTGAATCTGGGAGGCAGAGGTTGCAGTTAGCTGAGATTGCACCACTGCACTCCAGCCTGGGCAACAGAGTGAAACTCTGTCTCAAAAAAAATTTTTTTTTGTAGAGACGAAGTCCCACTCTGTTGCCCGAGCTGGCCTCGAACTCCTGGTCTCAAGTGATCCTCCTACCTCGGCCTCCCAAAATGCTGGGATTACAGCCATGAGCCACCACACCTGGCCTCCTGTATCATTTTCGCTTGGAAACTTTGGGAAGAATTCTAGAAGCAGACACTTCAATGGCCACCTCCCTGGGCATTAGCCTCAGGCATGCTTTTGGCTTTGGGCGCCTACCTAGAATCCATACAGAGAATCTGAGTGTCCTATACAGGTGTGCAGAAGAAACTAATCCAAAAGATCAGGATCTGGGGCCAAGAGAGAAAACTGCCTGCCCAGGAAAGAACCAACACAAGTCACCCGTCCACACGATGCCCTAGGGGCGGTCTCCAGGTCACCCAGGCTGAGCCCAGCCCAGTGAAGGGCTTCTCTGCTCTGCTTCCTTTGGGCCAATCCAGGTGGAAACCTATCGGTGGAACCTCTTCAGCCAACCAGGCTGTGCAGGAAGGAAGAAACAGCCCGAGTGGCAAACACACGTGACTGCTAAGCCTCCGGTGGCCGCCTCTTGTGCAGGGTAAGGAGCCTCCCCCCGGGGAGCGGCCCCCACAGTGCACTGTGCTCATCCACAGCTGGGCCTCTGGCTAGCCAGGGTGGGAGAGAAAGGCTCTTGGAGGCTGCTGGAGCCTCCTTGGGCACCTAAACCATATAAATAAAGTGTGTGGGCTGCTTGGTGGCTCATTTTTAACTATAAACTGCCAAAAGACAAAAGACCAAAAGGGAAATGAGATGTCAGTTCCTCTCCATTATCCCTATCACAGACCTGCAGCCCAGACATGGCGGCCTCTCAGAGCTGTCTGGGAAGCCTTCTCGACCGGGGCAAGTTTGCACGCTCCAGGCCCAAGTTTCTCAGACCCGGGCTTCTGCTCAGCTCTGTAAAAAGCACCTTCTCTGTGCAAAGACACTTTGGCCAGCACTGCTCGGTTGCTGAAAGGACTTTTTGTCCCTTTCTGCAGGGAAAAGGAGAACCTGGGGTGTGTCTGCGAAGCGGTTTCTCCAACTAGCCCCAGAAACTCTTCCATACCACAGCGAAGGCAGCCGGCGTTTCCCCCTGAACTGCACCGACCCACGTGGAGGGCACAAGTCACACACAAGTTTGTTACTATTCCAGGACGACGGGGCAACTCAGCTTCCTCGGTCGGCCCAAGCTAGGACCACCACACGGCCTTCACTGCCCCACCAAAGGCGTGGTTCCTCCACCCACCTGCCTGACCTGCTTATATCTGGGTCTTCGCCATCACCTCCACATCTGCTTCTCTCCGCCCATCTTAGGGCTTCGCTTCCCCCCACCTCCCCAACCTCCCCCCCCTCCACCCCCTCCCCGTGCGCGTTTTCTCCTTCCCCATCCTGCTGTGAGGTCAGAATCCTGTGCTTACGACACCTCGGTCTGTTGCCATGGAAACAGGGGCGGATTAAGGCTGGAGCGTGGAGCGCAGGGATCAGGCCCCTCGGCTACCTGAGCTCCCGCCTCAGCCGCTCCCGCAGGGCCGGGGCAGCCAGCCGCAGGCGCCGCGGCTTCTCAGCCTCCTGGCCGGGCCAGGCGCGGGGGGGATCCCGGCGGGGCGCCACAGCCTGCTCGGGCCTGGGAGGGGAGAGGCAGACGCAGAGGCTGGAACAGCTGGTGGCGGGGCCCGTGGGCTCCCGGCGTGATCACCTGCCCTCCCAGGGCCCGGGGGACGGCGCCCCGCGTGGCAACCACGTGGGGGCGCGGCGGGACTTCCCCGGTGCCCGCACCAACTTTGCCGCGCTCCGTACCGGGCCGGGCTGCTGGGGCGTCTAGCTACGGTGGTCGCGAAGCCAGCTGTCCTCAAGTTGAGCTGTGCACCGGTCGCGCACACTGGCGGCACGGCTTTCGCGTCCCTCCGCTCCCAGCATAATGAAAGTTTGAGGAACTGGACATCAGGCGCTGGCCGCTCCCCACCCTCAGCCGCTGGGTGCCCAGAGCCCATCCCTAGCGATCAGAGCAGAACTGCAGAGAAGACGTCCGCGTCCGGGCCCCGTCTGGGGAGCTAGGGCGCGCGGGGAGCGCCCGGGCCGCGCGGTCACTGACCGCTGGCTGCACGGGGGCGCCGTGCGGACTCGGCCTCCACAAAGCGGCAGAAGCAAGGGCGTGTGCCCGCGCAGGGAATGGAGGCTGCAAGTGCAAAACTTTATCCCAGCAAAGCAAAGGTCCCAGGAGGCCGGCTCCCCTTCCACCACCGGCCGCTCACTCTGGTCTCCGACTGACCCCTCCGGGCCGGATCTCTAGGCCTGGCCACTCGATCCATGGAGAAAACCCCGTGTCTCACAACTGGCCGCTGACGGGAGCTGAGCCCCAGCAGCAGCCCCTCGGCGGGTGCGCCCGGCAAAACCCACCAGCCCGCCGGGGGCTACTTCCCAGACCGGGAGCCCCGGCGCCGGGCGGCGCCCGGGCTCGCGGCTCTTTCCGGAGCGCATTCAACTTCAACTTGCCCCTGCGGCTCCAACTCACCTTTGCGAAGCATGTTGGCCACGGGGCCGCCGCTCCGAGGTCGGCCTAGGCGCACTCCCTCCCGGGGTCCAGATTCAAATCCCTGGGCGCCAGCTGCAGCTAATCCGAGCGCGTCGAGGCGGGGGCAAGCCGGGGATCCGCTCGTGCCCGGTGGCCCGGCCCCGCAGGGGCATGGTGAGCTCCAGCCCCGCGCCGAGGGCACCGGCGCCCGCAAGCAACCGTGGTGCTGCCCGGCAGCCCCGCGCGCTTGCTCAGCCCCGGGGCGAGCGGCTTGCTCCGCGGAGCCGGCGGCCTGCTTCTGCCACCCGGAGCACTTCGCAGGCGGTTTTGAGGGGGGACGCCGCCCCCTGGCCGGCCGGCCGCAGCCCCCTCCTCTCCGCCCCCTCGGACCACCGCCGCCGCGGCTGCAGCAAAAGGGCGCTCGCACGCACCGCCGAGCTCCGGGGAAAGCGCCCGGCGCGCGTTTGCAGGACCGAGCGATCGGCGGAGCGGGGCGCCTCCCTTCCTCCCCCCGGCTTCCCCCTCCTCTCCTCCTCCCTCCCTCCCTTGCTCTCTAGCTCCCTCCCTCTCGCTCCGCTCCCCGCCCCCGCTCACGGAGCGCCTCCCATACAAAATTTATGAAAGTGCTCTCAGCTCGCAGTGCCGAGCGCCGTCCTATTCCCAAGGCAGCAGCGCTCAGCCGCGCGGCGCCGCCTCCCAAGGTGTTTTCACTGCGCCCGCCCCCGGGGAAGATGCTCGGCCCGCGTCCGTCCAGGCACCTGCCCCCAGTCCCCAAGCCGGTCCTCGGACCACTCCACGCCCCTCCCCGGCCCCGCAGGCCTCCTGGAGCCCGAACCCGCAGCCCAGCCCCCGCCCGCTCGCCCTTCGCGGCTGGAGGTCATCGGGAGACGCGGCTGGGACGCGAGGACCGCCGCCCAGAGTACGGATCGCGAGTCCGCTCCCTGCCCCGTCTCCTCCCTGGCCAGCGCCCCTTCTCCCAGTCTCGACGGCTCTTCCCCGCACTGAACAGCTCCAGCGAACCCGGCTGCCCCGCACCCCGAGTCCCAGGACACTGTTCTTTCGTGGGGAGAGGAGGGGAGCAAGCATTCGGAAAGGGCCAGCTGCAAATTCCAGGGAGAAGGAAGGACCCGTGCGGGTTCGGGTGGGCCGTCTCCGCCTGGGTGGGGTGGCGGCGGGGGGTCTCTGATCTCCCTTGGTCCACACAGACCCCGCCGGGGGGTTCGCGGAAAATGGAGGAGGCGCCGCTTGGAAAGCGGGTCCCGCAGGGGCCTGTTGAGCTGAGGGAAGAGAAGGTTCGGGCCAGGCGAGATCCTGGGTGGAGGCGGCACCCCCTGCTGGCCTGGGATCAGAGGGATTCGGAGAGAAGAAAAAGCGGATGGACCAAGGCTGTCATTCAACACACATTCACCGAAGGCTCAGCATGTGTGGGGCACTACTGTTCCTGAAAATTCAGCAGACGAAAAAGACTTGTCTTTGCCCTGTCCTCAAGGAGTTTCCATTTTAATAGGGGCCAAATGAGGAAAGTCCAGAGAAGATGGGAAGATTGTGCTTCGAAGAAAAACAAGCAGAGTATTGTTCTGGAGCTGACACGGGGGTAGAGGTGGCAGTCAAGGAAAGCTGCTCTGAGCAGGTGACATCCAAGCAGAAATCCAACTGAATCCCTCCTTGTAGGAAAAGGTGACATGATAGGAAGGTCAAAAAGAAGGTCAGGGCCGGGCGCGGTGGCTCACGCCTGTAATCCTAGCACTTTGGGAGGCGGAGGCAGGCAGATCACGAGGTCAGGAGTTCGAGACCACCCTGGCCCGCATGGTGAAACCCGGTCTCTAATAAAAATACAAAAATTAGCCGGGCATGGTGGCAGGCGCCTGTAATCCCAGGTACTCGGGAGGCTGAGGCAGGAGACTCGCTTGAACCCGGGAGGCGGAGGTTGCAGTGAGCCGAGATCGCGCCACTGCACTCCAGCCTGGGTGACAGAGTGAGACTCTGTCTCAAAAAAAAAAAAAAAAAAAGGGCCAGGCTGGGCGCGGTGGCTCACACCTGTAATCCCAGCACTTTGGGAGGCTGAGCAGATCACTTGAGGTCAGGAGTTCGAGACCAGCCTGGCCAAGGTGAAACCCCGTCTCTATTAAAAATACAAAAATTAGCCGAGCGTGGTGGTGTGCGCCTGTAATCCCAGCTACTTGGGAGGCTACGGGAGAATCTCTTGAACACAGGAGATGGAGATTGCAATGAGCCGAGATCACACCACTGCACTCCTGCCTGGGTGACAGAGCGAGACTGTCTCAAAAAAACAAAACAAACAAAAAAAAAGAAGGCCAGTCTGACGTATTCACTCACACCTGCATTTGGTGGCACTGAAGCTTCAGATTTGAGCTAAGGCTCTGGGCTTGGACTTCCAGAAGCTTCAGGTGTCGTGGGAAAAGAAAGACCCGCAAACCATCTTAGAGTGTGACTGACAGAAGTCACAAAGACTGCGAAAGGGCTCTGCTAGCTCTGCCAGGGGCTACCAGATAATCAGGAAACAGTCACAGAAGAGGTGCCCTTGGAGTTAGGTCTTGAAGGCTGAGTTCACCACACTAAGAAGGGGGAAGGGCATTCCACGTAGATGCTTGAAGGTGAGAAGTAACCTTGTTCTGAAGATAGATAAGATTGGTCCTTCCTGAGGACCATGGGCTCACACCTATAATCTCACCACTTTGGAAGGCTGGGGTGGGAGGATTGCTTGAGGCCAGGAGTTTGAGACCAGCCTGGGCAACAGTGTGAGACTCCATCTCTATTTCAAAAAAATGTTTAAAGATAAAAAAAGATGGATGGCTGCTACTCTGGGCACACTGCCCATGGCCACAGGAGCAGTTAAACACGAACAAAAAAAGATTGGTCCCTCTTGGCGTAGAACAGAAGGTGAGGTATTCCTTCTCTTAGCCACCAGCTACAAGGCAGTGCTCACCCCACTGCCTGCCTTAGCCCTGACACTGGGAGCCTGAGAGGTCCTCTGTAAGTACACCGAGGCCCAGAGAGGATGAACAACTTGCTCAACGTCACATCACAGATCAGCGATAAAGTGTGGGCCTGACTCAGGGCCTGAATGTGGGATAATCCTCCTTCCACCTCTCCAAGCCGCCTCCCCATGACCCCCTAGCCCACAAACTCTAGCGTCTTAGGAAAAGTTGGCTGGGGCTGGGCGTGAGTGTGAGAAGCAGAGTTATTTCAGGCCTCAGGAGGGTTGGGTGCTGCCTTGGAGTCCAGCCAGGGAGTGGGGGCGAGTGAAGGCGGGTGTTGTGGTGTACTGTGGGGGTGCACTGTGCCCGCCTTCTTGTCAGGCAGTAATTACTCAGACTGCTGAGTAACTCAGGCAGGGAGACCCCCACAGACAGATGGAGGTGCCCTCAGCCCAAGCTGAATGGCAGCCCCCAATGTCCTGCACCACGGAGTCTTGGGGAAGCATTCTCACATCTGTTCTTCATGTCCAGTTCTCCTAGGCATCATCCGGCTTCCTAATGGGGGCCAGAGCAGCTCATTAGGCACAGCGGGTGCGGGGCAATGTTACTAGAGGGATGGGACTTTTGCCATCAAACAGGCCCCACCTCTGATGAGGGAAAGGTCCCAAGGGATATGGCGCCTGCTAGGGAGAAGCCATTGCTCAGTTGGAGCCAGTCCTTTCCCCTTGAAACTCCATGCTGCAGTCACAGCTAAGGCTGTCCACAGGCTGGGCAGCAGTGTC
Source organism: Homo sapiens (assembly GCF_000001405.40). Classification (NCBI taxonomy): domain Eukaryota; kingdom Metazoa; phylum Chordata; class Mammalia; order Primates; family Hominidae; genus Homo; species Homo sapiens. The sequence goes on from NC_000017.11 coordinate 2,028,574, forward strand.
CTGAGAGAGGAGGGGCTGAGCTCCCAGAATTCAGATCTTGCACCCTGGGGATCCAGAGAAGCTGGGGGGAGATGGGAAGGTCTAGTCCGGACGCTTATCGAGTTGAGGGGAGTGTTCCTGGGACCCACATTGGTCACTTTTCTGTCTAGAGCTACCTGTCCTAAGAGTGCCGGTGGCCTGGGGGGCACAGCACTGACCCTTGGTGATGGTCCCTCAGCTGCTCACTCCCTGCCTGTCCAGCCATTCCTCCTCTCTGGGCAGCCTCCCAGGCAGGGCCTGTCTCTGGCTGCTTGTTTTTACTTCTCCCTGCACCTTAATTAGGGGTTTCCAAGCAGGGAGGGCCTCTGGGGGAGCCCGAGGACACAGAGCTGACTTAAAGGGCCAGCTGTGATCACAGCACCACCGCAGAGAGAGGAGGAGGATGCCAGGGGGCTGGGTAGACCGTCAGACCTGGAAGACCATTGTTCCACGGGACAGACTGCTGAGGGCCAGTCCTGCAGGTACTTTGCTCTTCCACAGGTCAAAGCCGTCTCACTGGCTGTCTTCTCTTTGGGGTCTCTGGGGCTCTGGCCAGTGATCAGGAGAAAGACCAGCCCTGAGGGGCAGGGCAAAGGTTGGCCAGGGTCCAGAAGGGTTAGACATCACAGTCCTCCACTGCCCACCTTCCCAGGAAAGCACCCTCAGGCTGTGGGCCTTCCCCAGAGGGGCAGTTTCTACAGGGTCTACGCAGTGGATTCTAAAGGTGATAAAGGCTGGGTGCAGTGGCTCGCGCCTGTAATCCCAGCACTTTGGGAGGCCAAAGTGGGAGGATTGCTTGAGTCCAGAGGTTCAAGACCAGCCTGAGCAAAATAGTGAAACCTTATCTCTACTAAAAAAAAAAAAAAAAAAAAAAAAAAAAATTAGCTGAACGTACGCCTGTGGTCCCGGGTACTCAGGGGGCTGAGGCAGGAAGATGAATTGAGCCCAGAAGGTTGAGACTGCTGTGAACCATGATCGCACCACTGCACTCCAGCCTGGGCGACAGACCAAGACCCTGTCTCAAAAAAAATAATTTAAAAAGCTGATAAGGGCGATCCACAAACCTGCACCAAGACTCTCAACTTGGAGCTGGGCTGGTGGTCCCTGAGTTCTGTCCTGCCGGACAGTAGAGTCCCCCTAGGTAGGGAACGTGGCCCCACACGGCGGCCGGGTGACCGACCACTGCTTACCAGGAGGGGAGACTGGCAGGGGGGGCTCAAGGAACATCTGGTGGGTGTCCCCTTCACAAGACTCGGCCTGCAGAGTTCGTGCAGGGAGTTCGCACATAGGAGAGCACCGGTCCGGGAGTGCCAGGCTCGTGCCCGGCCGGGGAGAGGAGTGGGAGACTAAGTCGCAGGGCAAGGGCAACTGCATAGTCGGGGACCTCTAGGGAATCCTGAGTCCCGGCATTCTGGGCTGGGGTGGAGCCCACTACAGCCCCGCCCCTATCTCCTCCTTTATGGCCCCGCCCAGCGGGTATCCCCCGCCCCCGCTGGCCGATCGGCGATCGATCGCAATGTCTGCGCTCTCCGCGTTCTTCCAGCGCTGTCTTTTTAGTACCACATGCGCAGGCAGGTGATGGCGGCGCTGGTCGTATCCGGGGCAGCGGAGCAGGGCGGCCGAGACGGCCCTGGCAGAGGTGGGTGCTGGAACGCTGCGCCCTCCAGACCTCGCATCTCGGGGCGGGGCCCCCAAGTTAGGGACAGGACCAACCCCCTTTAACGGCGGCGGCGCCTTTCTCCGCTAGATCCCGCTGTTAGTCGCCTTGGGCCGCTGTCACCAGCTCGGGGTCGCTGTCAGCCGGAGCCCAGGGGTACCAGTCTTTTGCAGCTTTAGGGCACGACCGAGAGCAGCCCTTAATCCTCCAATCGGAAACTACAGCCTTGTCTTGGCGGGTAGACGGATAAAATGGACTCGACGGGGAGGGAAAGGGCCAGGCCAGATGCAGCGGGCATTTTACGAGTGCGCCCTCAGGGAATGCTTTCAGGGAAGAGGCAAAAGGTTTCATTCGCCAGGCATTAACTGAGCGCCCACCGAATGCCAGGCCTGCGCTGGGTGCAGGTACTAGAATCAGAGATCTCAGTCTACTGGGGGAATGTTAATGTAAACATATCATAGCCACGTGATAAAGGAGGAGGTGCCTACTGGTCCCTGGGACACATTGAAGGGCTAATGTTAGCAGTTCCTTACACGCCAGCGACCACTAGGGACCTGTCAGAGGAGGATCTGTAATGGGCCTAGGAAGCCTAGGCTGATTGTCCAAGGCTTTTGAAACAACTGGCCAAAAACCATAGCAGTGGTAACGTTCAAATCTGATCTCAGGGCCCCAGCCTCCGCTGGACCATCCCCACCGCCGCCCACACAGTGGGTGAAGCCTCATGTCTGGGCGGGTCCCTCCTATCATAGTGTGGGGCCCTAGCAGAAGTTGTGGCACATAGCACAGTCTCAATACATATTCGTTGAATAAGTTAATTTCTTGCCTTTTCATATCCTCAGACTCTGTGGCTCCTGAAGAGATAACGGGGTTGAACTAAGCTTAATTGTCGGGGCAGGGCATAGTGGCTTACACCTTTAGTCTGAGCACTTTGGGAGGCTAAGGAGGATTGTGTGAGCCCAGGAATTCCACACCAGTCTGGGAAACATAGGGGGACCCTGTATGCACAAAAAAATAAAAAATAGCCGTGCGTGGCCGGGCACGGTGGCTTACACCTGTAATCCCAGCACTCTGGGAGGCTGAGGCGGGCGGATTACCTGAGGTCAGGAGTTTGAGACCAGCCTGGCCAACATGGTGGAAACCCTGTCTCTACTAAAAATACAAAAATTAGCCGCGTGTGGTAGCACACGCCTGTAATCCCAGCTACTCGGGAGGCTGAGGCAGGAGAATTGCTTGAGTCCGAGAGGCTGAGGTTGCAGTGAGCCGAGATTGCACCACTGCACTCCAGCCTGGCCAACAGACAGAGTGAGACTCTGTCTCAAAAAAAAAAAAAAAAAAAAAAATTAGCCCTGCGTCTTGGCACATGCCTGTGGTCCTAGCTACTGGGGAGGCTGAGGTGGGAGGATTATCGTTTGAGCCCAGGACGTCGAGGCCGCAGTGGACCATGATTGCACCCCTGCACTCCAGCCTGGGTGATGGAGTGAGACCCTGCCTTAAAAAATAATAAGATGAATTGTTTATTCAGCTTATTATTTTTTATCCTACTTAGGAGTAGGATGAGACCAGAGTAAGAGTTGCAGTTTGCTAAGGGCTACGGTTTCCCCTTTACTCCAGGAGTTGTAATTATGTGTATACCTGTCTTTTCCCCCACTAGACTGCTGGTCTCTAAGGGACAAGGTCACTTTTCTGTCCTTACTGGTACGTCCACCACCCTGACTCAAGTGTTCTTTCCATCCTTCCTGGTTTAAGAGTAAGGAGGAGCAATGGGACAGCTAAGTCAGTTAAATGTATGATGTTTATTTCCCTTTTAAATGAGGAGAGGTAAGCGTGAAAGAACGAACAGTGTGGCCACAGTCAGTGGGGTTCTGAGTCAGGAGGGCAGTCTTTTAAGTTAGTATTCATGTTTAACGGTTTGCTTATAGACCTCATATCTAGAAGCTCAAAACTTCAAGGTGTCCTCAGGAGGTGGGAGAGGGGGGACATTCTCCCAGGCTGGCTGGGCTGGCTAGACTGACTCTTAGGTTTTCCGCAGGGCTGTTCTCTATCAGGGAGCAGTATATGGACTCAGACTCATTCTTTGCCCCTTAGCCCCTGGTGTCACCTCTGTTCTCCTGAGGAAGAAGGTGAGCCATATTCTATTCATGGGCTCAAGTCTTCGATTCCCAGTGATTTCACAACATGGAAATTATACCGGTTACCTTCTGGCTTAATGAATTGTCTCTACCTTCAGGATGAATTCAGTGAGAACGAAAGCTGGGCCAACCCCCTTGGTGTCTGGATCTGGCCCTTAAACTTGGTGGAGTTAACAGCTTAGCTGGGTCTTGTTACCAAACTCAACTTGGGTCTTCCCATCCACACAAAGCAAAAGCCAAACACTGACATGGAGATTTGCAGGGAGAGAACAAGCATTTATTGTAAGGCACCAAGCAGGGAGACTGGGCAGCTAAAGCTTAAGACCTAAACTTCCTGATGGCTTACAAGCAAAGGGTTTTTATTTTATTTATTTATTTATTTTTGAGATGGTGTCTCGCTCTGTTGCCCAGGCTGGAGTGCAGCGGCGTGATCTCGGCTCACTGCAAGCTCCGCCTCCCGGGTTCACCCCATTCTCCTGCCTTAGCTGGGACTACAGGTGCCTGCCACCAGGCCCGGCTAATTTTTTGTATTTTTAGTAGAGAGTAGTATTTCCCCGTGTTAGCCAGGATGGTCTCGATCTCCTGATCTCGTGATCCGCCCGCCTCAGCCTCCCAAAGTGCTGGGATTACAGGCGTGAGCCACTGCGCCCGGCTGCAGAGGGTTTTTAAAGGCTGGGCTTCTGGGGATCTTTAAAGTGAATTAAGGGCTGGGGAATTTCTGGAACTTTCTTACCTATTTTCTGGCTTCAGTCTGTCTGAGGTCTTACATGACAGCAATTAGTTGGCATTTTTCACCTGGTGGGGGGGTGGGTGTCCTGGTTTCTGAAAAACAACTTAGGGATATATGTCAAGGTGTTATGTGTAGTTTCTATAGGGAACCAGGCATCTCGTGACTCTGACTTGGGTGACTGTTGTTTATTATCTTCTTGTTTAGCAAGTTATTTAATTCCCTAATTGCTGGTTGTAGGGCTAGCTAAGATGCCTGGGATTTTTCTTGAGATGACTCAAAATTTTTATTTCTATGCTTGAGCGGGGGCACCGGCAGGCCCTGAAAAGGGATCCCTATTCCATCTCAATCTGGCTTCAGCCAAAGACAGACACCAACTCAGGCCTTATATCCATTCTAGGTCGGGCCCCTCGGGGCCGCGTGGCCAATCAGATCCCCCCTGAGATCCTGAAGAACCCTCAGCTGCAGGCAGCAATCCGGGTCCTGCCTTCCAACTACAACTTTGAGATCCCCAAGACCATCTGGAGGATCCAACAAGCCCAGGCCAAGAAGGGTGAGCCTGTGATCATTGAGCTGGGGTTGGGGTGGAGAGGTTGCCTGGCCCAGATGGGACAGTGTCCCCCTTGCAGCCCCTTCCTAGCCCTCCACCTCTCATGTCTCTGCTCGTCTTGCAGTGGCCTTGCAAATGCCGGAAGGCCTCCTCCTCTTTGCCTGTACCATTGTGGATATCTTGGAAAGGTGAGGCTTGGGGCACTGGAGAGGAGGGTGAGCCAGGCTTCCCCCACCCCCTATGCTCATTACCCGGGTGGGTAAAGCCCTGGTGGCGGGCATTTTTTCCTTCTGAACCTCCACCTTCCCCCTTTCCCTCCCACAACCATACACACACTCAGGGAAAACCCAAAACAAATCTCCCAGCTTGCTGAGAGCCCTGCTTGTCCCTGCAAATCCCCCCTCCCCTAAACATTTGGGACAGAGAAAGAAATCAATCCCAGTGTCTTCAAAGCTAGACCCAGAGCAGGTGGTAGGACCTGGGGAGGACCCTAAGAATTCTCCAAGCTGCCCCTGAAATGCGCTGAGTGATCAGTGGGAGGTCTGCCGGTCGGGGGCGGTGGGGGGCACCTGTTCCTCGGGCACATTTGGGGAAGTAGGGCAAGGATGGGTTTGGAGTGGGAGGTGCCTGGGAGAAGGTATTCAGTTCCTCTACATCCTACCCCTGTCACTCTAAGTTTCTGCAATACAATGAGCCATCCTTGGTGGGGAGGGTGAGAGCTCAGCCATCTGGAACCAGCACAGGAACAGGGGAGGGGAACGAAGAAAGGGGAGGTCATCTCATGCTGGGAACCTCCCACTCCCCTGCTGCCCCATCGCCCTCCCCTGCTCCTCCCTCCCCCTCCCCTTCTCCCCCATCCCCCTCCCCTGCTCCCCCATCCCCTGCTGCCCCATCCCCCTCCCCTGCTGCCACCCTCCCTCCCCTGCTCCCCCAAACCTCTCTTCTCCCCCCTTCCCCTCCCCTGCTCCCCCTCTCTCCCCTCCCCTTCCCCCTCCCCTGCTCCCCCTCCCCTCCCCTGCTCCCCATCCCCCTCCCCAGTTTCCCCATCCCCTCCCCTGCTGCCCCATTCCCCTCCCCTACTCCCCCTTCCCCCTCCCCTGCTCCCCCCTCCCCTGCTGCCCCCTCCCCTCCTCCCCCACTCCCCTGCTGCCCCATCCCCCTCCCCTGCTGCTGCCCCATCCCCCTCCCCTGCTGCTGCCCTCCCTCCCCTGCTGCCCCATCTTGTTGCCACAGACTCACTTCCCTGCTCCCACCGTCTTGCCCCTTGGGGATGCTCTCTGGGGCTCAGGCCAATTTGCATACATTTTAATCTATAAAAAATTAAGTGCTGTGGCTGACTTAGACGCCTGGGCTGCATTCTAAGGAGGTGAATAATCTGCTTCTGGGCACAGCCTGATTTGGGGAAGGGGGTGGAGGAGGGGGTGACTAGCAGGAGCTCAACTCTTCCACTGCCACACCCCCAGGGGAAGGATGGGGGGACCCCAGTCACTGAGCCAGGCTCCACGCCCCAAGTGTGAGTCTCTTTCAAGGAAGAGGGGGTTCTCCTCCATTCCTAGGGTGAGTTCAGGGGTACAAGGTCTTCCCCACCCACCCCCTCCCCCAGTGATTCAGGCCTGGCAGCAGTTCCCACGGCAGTGTTCTGGCCAGAGCCTCCTCTTCCTGATGCAGGAGGCGTGTAGGTGGTGCCATGTGCTATGGGGGAGCTGTGCCTGGGTCCCCCCATCCTGGGCACCAAGGGCCCTGCCTGCGGTGGGGAGGTAGTGGGGGTCCGGACGAGAGGGCCCTGCCTGTGGTGGGGAGGTAGTGGGGGTCCGGGTGAGGGGGCCCTGCCTGTGGTGGGGAGGGGGTGGGGGCCCTGCCTGTGGTGGGGAGGGAGTGGGGGTCCCGGCAAGAGGGAGGCTGTGTGTATTCATACAGCCACGCCCATGCCCACCACAGCACTCAGCGCGGGAGTGAGGACCTTTGGGTGTGTGTGCGTGCTCACGGCTCTGGGTGGGTGAGTCAGGGCATGGGGCGTCTGTGTTTTGACCCCACGTGTGCCGGAGTGAGGGTTGGGGTCCCTCCTGCAGCCTGAGCCTGGGTAGAGGAATGAGGGTCCTCACGCAGCAACAGTTCCAGGAGCGGCTGCCAGGCTGGGGCAGGCGGCAGCTGTGCCCCTCCTAATCTTTGTTGGCAGAAGTGGCAGCTGCCATCCCGAGGAACTGGGAGAGGTAGGGAGAGAGGAGCTGGGCCCTGAGACACCCTCCCAGGGTTGGGTCTCTCCTACCTCAGTCCCTGTGTCCCTGTCCCACCGTTCCCCGCCCCTGTGCCCGCAGGTTCACGGAGGCCGAAGTGATGGTGATGGGTGACGTGACCTACGGGGCTTGCTGTGTGGATGACTTCACAGCGAGGGCCCTGGGAGCTGACTTCTTGGTGCACTACGGCCACAGTTGCCTGAGTATGGTGGGGCCAGGACACCTGGACGGTGGCGGGGCTGGCAGGGAGGCAGGCTGCACATTCATCTTCCCCATGGCAGTGCCTTCTTGTCCTGCTTGGAGACACAAGGTCCCTCCTGGTTTCTGGGGTGGCCTCTGCCTTCCCGCTCTGCAGGTAGATCTTTCCTTTGGATTTGGTTGCCTTGGCAACGGTGCTCTGTCCCAGATGCAGGTGTTTGAAAGGCTGTTGGTTGTAGAGCAGGCTGGGCCCCGGCCGGGTGACAGAGAAGTCTGATTGAGAAGGAGCTTCTAGGGGATCTGTGACCCCCCTCTTCTCCTACCCTGTCCTTTTACCCCCAGGCTGAAGCCACTGCGCCTGGCTGCTCAGAGACCTGAGCCTGGCCGGGCCCTCTGCTGCTCCTGCCTTCCCAAACAGCCCCTGAACTCCTCCCTCCCACAGTTCCCATGGACACCTCGGCCCAAGACTTCCGGGTGCTGTACGTCTTTGTGGACATCCGGATAGACACTACACACCTCCTGGACTCTCTCCGCCTCACCTTTCCCCCAGCCACTGCCCTTGCCCTGGTCAGCACCATTCAGTTTGTGTCGACCTTGCAGGTGGGTGGAACGAGGATCCTCGGCCTCCTGCAGGGTGGACAGCGGCCACTCTCCAGCTGTTGCGGGATCCCCAGGTGCTCCAGGCTGTTTCTCAGCCCTGGCTCTCCTGCCCCAGCCGCTGGCTTCACTTCCCTCGTCATTCCTACAGGCAGCCGCCCAGGAGCTGAAAGCCGAGTATCGTGTGAGTGTCCCACAGTGCAAGCCCCTGTCCCCTGGAGAGATCCTGGGCTGCACATCCCCCCGACTGTCCAAAGAGGTGGAGGCCGTTGTGTAAGTTAAAAATGGGGGCCAAGTAAGTCCTAGAGACATGCGTGTACCCTGGGAGGGAGCCTGAGGTTCATCATCCAGGAAAGAAACCAAATCTAATGCTCCTTACCTGTGAGCCCGAGGTCACACTGCAAGGTAGGGACCAAACAGGGAGCAGACCTCAGGTTTACTGTCGCTTTCTCCACTGCCCAGTCCATCATCCAGAAGGCTGTGCAGGGTGGGGGCAGGAATCAGAGGGCCTGATGGGGGTTGAGGGTGGGCTGGAAATGGTGGGAATATAATTGGAGAAGATGGATGGGCACGCCCAGGCTGCAGCCCCATTAATTTACCATCCGGACAGCTAACAAGCAGAAGCAGCGTGTCTCCTGCCGCCTAATTATTTTAGGTAATGGAAATGCTTAATGTTGTGTGAATGCAGCCAGCCTGAGAGCCGACGGCTCCCCCGACTGGGACTAGGGAAGGGAGTCCCGTTCCGTACTAATGGCAGGGAGGGAGGGTCGCTCCCTGACTCAGTCCCACCTCTGGGGCTTTGGAGGCTGTTTCCACAGGCCTGACACCCCTGTCCCTAGACAGGCCCACATCAGGGCCTTCCCCAGCCCAGATCTGGCAGCCCTGCTCCCCGAGCAGCACTGAGTGGCATTCCCCCTGTGCCCACGTCACTCAGTCTCTACCCTTGGGGTCTTCAAAGTGTATGTTGGAGGGAGGGACACCCTGAGTGTTAGCCATTCATCAGAATGAAGTGTGGTCTCCAAGAGGGAGAGAAGGAGCTGCCACAGGCAGGTTATCTTCCACGCTCTGTAATCTTCATGGGCTGGGAAGCTACTGTCAGGGACAGCATGTCTGGGGGCACACTTGGTACAGCCTGGGTTGAGCCTCAGACACACTGCTTCCTAGCTGTTTAATACTAGGCGAGTTTCTTAACATCCCTGAGCCTCAGTTGTTACCTTCTGTAAAACAGGTATACTATACGTATCTGGGAGGATTAGGAGATAGGACTGCGTGAACTAATTCACAGCAGGTACTTAGTCTATGCCTGGTACACAGAAGGCACAAGTCCAATAAACAGTAGCTGTTGGCCGGGCACAGTGGCTCACGCCTGTAATCTCAACACTTTGGGAGGCCAAGGCAGGAGAATTGCATATGTCCAGGAGTTTGAGACCAGCTTGGGGAATATAATGAAACCCTGTTCTCTCCAAAAAAAAAAAAAAAAAAAAAAAAAAGAATTAGCTGGGTACAGTGTCCATGCCTGTAGTCCCAGCTCCTCAGGAGGCTTAGGTGAGAGGATCGCTTGAGCCTGGGAGGTTGAGGCTGCAGCGAGCCATGACCGAGTCACTCAACCTGGGTGACAGAGTAAGACCCTGCCTCAAAAAAACAAAATGAAAATCCGGTAGCTTTTGTTATAACTCAGTAACTGGCCCCAAGAGCTAGTTTGGGCAGAAAGTAGCCATTGTATGCCCTGCAACCTCATGTACAGCATAGATCAGAGGTCCCCAACCCCTGGTCCCATGTCCTGTTAGGAAACCTGCCGCACAGTAGAAGGTGAGGGGTGGGCCAGCCAGCGTGACCACCTGAGCTCCGCCTCCTGTCAGATCCGCCGCGGCATTAGATTCTTGTAGGAGCTCAAACCCTATCGTGACCTGTACATGCGAGGGATCTAGGTTGCATGATCTTTATGAGATCCTAATGCCTGATGATCTGAGGTGAGACAGTTTCATCCTGAAACCATCCCCCAATCCCACCCGTGTCTTCCACAAAACCTGTTCCCAGTGCCAAAAATATTGGTTACTGCTGGCGTAGATGACTCCTTGAACACTACTGTCCACATCTGTATTGAGCTTGTGAAGGAGAATCTGTTCCCCAACTTCCAAATGAGGATCTCTAGAACCCCAGGTGGCCTCACCACGGCCGGCTGCTCCTTCACTCTTCCTCAGAAGCTTGGGGTGGGACGGTTCTTAGATTCTGCATTATGTAAATAGAGGGACCGTAGAGTCATCCAATTCAAACTCCTTATTTCACACGTGAGAAAACCAAGGCTCCAAGAGGTGAAGTGAAGGCTTGTCCCAGTTTACACAGAGGCACAGCACAGCCAGCTGTGAACTCAGTCCTCTGGACTTTTTTTTTTTTTTGAGACAGAGTCTTGTTCTGTCGCCCAGGCTGGAGTGCAGAGGTGCGATCTCGGCTCACTGCAGCCTCTGCCTCCCGGGTTCAAGTGATTATCCTGCTTCAGCCTCCCCAGTAGCTGGGACTACAGGTGCCCGCCACCACGCCCAGCTAAGTTTTTGTATTTTTAGTAGAGACAGGGTTTCACCGTGTTAGCCAGGATGGTCTTGATCTCCTGACCTCGTGATCCACCCGCCTCGGCCTCCCAAAGTGTTGGGATTACAGGCATGAGCCACTGCACCTGGCAGCCCTGTGGACTTCTTTTTTTTTTTTTTTCTTTTTGAGACGGAGTCTCACTCTGTCACCCAGGCTGGAGTGCAGTGGCGCGATCTCAGCTCACTGCAAGCTACGCCTCCCGGGTTCACGCCATTCTCCTGCCTCAGCCTCCCGAGTAGCTGGGACTACAGGCGCCCGTCACCACACCCAGCTAAGTTTTTGTATTTTTAGTAGAGACGGGGTTTCACTGTGTTAGCCAGGATGGTCTCGATCTCCTGACCTCATGATCCGCCCGCCTCGGTCTCCCAAAGTGCTGGGATTACAGGCGTGAGCCACCGCGCCCGGCCAGCCCTGTGGACTTCTAAGCCAGCGAGTGCCTCTTCTGCTGCCCTAAACCACACTTAGCCTCCTTTCCACCCCTGCAGGTATCTTGGAGATGGCCGCTTCCATCTGGAGTCTGTCATGATTGCCAACCCCAATGTCCCCGCTTACCGGTATGGGCTGGGCCGGGCTGGGCTGACCAGCTGGTGAGGGGTGAGATTCCCTGCCACTGAGGTCCTCAATTGGTTGCATCCCCATTTCCTGGCCACTAAGCCACCAGCCCTAAGGGTCTGAGGCACTTGGGCCCTGGATCTGGGCATTAGCCCCAGGGCTGCTGTTGCCTACCCGTCTCCTGGGGTTTACACGGAGATCTTAAAGCCGCCCACTCTTGTCTGCTCCAGCTGTGGGACAGGTCTTCCTAATGACAGTCCCCGCTCTTGCCTCTGTTCTTAATTACCTGCGTGGGGCCTAAAGGTTCAGGAGCCCACGGGGCTGAGTCAGGAGCTGTGTGCATAATACTGGTCCTGACAGTGGCTGCCACAGTGACCCTGACTGCTTCTTTTCCAGGTATGACCCATATAGCAAAGTCCTATCCAGAGAACACTATGACCACCAGCGCATGCAGGCTGCTCGCCAAGAAGCCATAGCCACTGCCCGCTCAGCTAAGTCCTGGGGCCTTATTCTGGGCACTTTGGGCCGCCAGGGCAGTCCTAAGATCCTGGAGGTCAGTGGGCTCAGGACAGCCTCTGGAGGAGGGAAGTGACTGGGAACACAGCTGGGAAAACCAGTAGGCCACAGGTTCAGCTTTGGCTGCTTGACCAGGTGACCCCCACCCTGCCTCCCTCTCCCAACAGCACCTGGAATCTCGACTCCGAGCCTTGGGCCTTTCCTTTGTGAGGCTGCTGCTCTCTGAGATCTTCCCCAGCAAGCTTAGCCTACTTCCTGAGGTGGATGTGTGAGTATCTGCCTGGCTATGACTGGCTAAAGAAGCTTAGAAGCTGGGTCTTGCCCAGCTCGTCTTGAAGGCTGGAGCCAACAGGAATTGCTTCCATGGTCATGGAATTTTACTGTTTACAGAGACCTCCCTGGGAGGGCTAACTGGGTCATACCTGCTTTGGGACTTTGGGGCTCAGAGGCAATGGCAACATCACATTTGTCCTTGTGAGATGAGTTTGAGCGGTGGCTGACACCTGCCCTGTACCAGGTACTAAATGTGGTTCTGGGGATACTATCACCAGTGAGCTGCCCTGGAAAGCTCATTGTCGGCAGAGGAAACAGGAGAAAACACGCAACAATACAGTATTCCAAACAGCAGTGGGTCACTGTCTTTACTTTAGGATTCATAAAGCCTGTTAATGAATGGGTGTGCTGGGGGCACTGTCATGTTCTTCAGCATGCTGCCTGGGCGACGAGGAGGCCCTTCCTAGGGTCTGACCTGGCTTCCCTTCCCAGGTGGGTGCAGGTGGCATGTCCACGTCTCTCCATTGACTGGGGCACAGCCTTCCCCAAGCCGCTGCTGACACCCTATGAGGTAACACCAAGCTCTGGGAGAGAGTGGGCTTTGGACGTGGTTCTCAAAGGTGAGGTCTGGAGTGGAGTGGGGTGGGTGGGCAGCACTTCGTTATGTTCGTAGATTCCGGAGTCTGTCTCGATTTCTCCAGCGGAGTCACTTCCTAGCTGTGTAGCCTTAGGCAAGGCCCTGAACCACACAGTTCCCTTCTGTGGCAGGGGACAGTGTGCCCTTCACAGGCCGTCGTGAGGACTGAATTCAGTAATCCAGGGGCAGAAAAACACTGGCAGATGTTATTGTCCCTCCCTCCCCTCCCCTAGGCGGCCGTGGCTCTGAGGGACATTTCCTGGCAGCAGCCCTACCCGATGGACTTCTACGCTGGCAGCTCCTTGGGGCCCTGGACGGTGAACCACGGCCAGGACCGCCGTCCCCACGCCCCGGGCCGGCCCGCGCGGGGGAAGGTAGGCGGGGGCTTCCAGGAGGGAGGAGAGACCGCGCCTGGGCACTGGCCGCCGCCCTGCGACCGCGACGGGAAACGCACAGGAGCGGAGCGGAGGGAAACGCAGGGTCGCAGGAGCGAGACCCTAACCAAAGTCTGCGACCTCAGGTGCAGGAGGGGTCCGCGCGTCCCCCTTCGGCCGTGGCTTGCGAGGACTGCAGCTGCAGGGACGAGAAGGTGGCGCCGCTGGCTCCTTGACGCGCTCCCGGGCCTCAGGTATCAGCCCCCGCTCTGGGTGCGCCCCGCCTTTTGCCGTTGTCATGGGAACGCCTTGGCGCTCCGAGGCCCGCCCTCGGGGCGGTGCTGACGTTCGGTTCCGCCCCGTGCATTGTGCTTCCGCTCGGGGAAAGACCGCTTCCGGTGCTTCCGTCGCTCCTTGCCGGGCATAATGGCCGCGCAGCGACCCCTGCGGGTCCTGTGCCTGGCGGGCTTCCGGCAGAGCGAGCGGGGCTTCCGTGAGAAGACCGGGGCGCTGAGGAAGGCGCTGCGGGGTCGCGCCGAGCTCGTGTGCCTCAGCGGCCCGCACCCGGTCCCCGACCCCCCGGGCCCCGAGGGCGCCAGATCAGACTTCGGTGAGACAAGCCCCGCTCCGGAAACGCACTCAGTTTCCTCCATCTTGTTTCGTCCCCCTCGACACCCTTCAGCATCCCCCACCCTGCGTCCACCCGCATTCCTCCCACCCAGTCCACACCCTTCATTTCTCGCGACCCATACCCTCTTTGCTCAAACTGCAGCCTGTCCTCCCAGGCTTCCGCCTTCACCGTCTTCCTCCGCTGTCTCCTGTTCAGGCCAATCCACTCATTTCCCCCCTCTCATTTCCCCCAGACTTTTGCCTCGATTCCCTTTTTCTCTCTGTCATCTCGAACCCTCCTGCCCTTTCTCATTTCTTTCCTTCCTGGAGCCTCCCATGCCCTAATCCCATCCTTTTTCCTCATATCGCTGTAGGGTCCTGCCCTCCGGAGGAGCAGCCTCGAGGCTGGTGGTTTTCAGAGCAGGAGGCCGACGTTTTCTCCGCATTGGAAGAGCCCGCCGTCTGCAGGGGCCTGGAGGAATCACTGGGGATGGTGGCACAGGCACTGAACAGGCTGGGGCCTTTTGACGGCCTTCTTGGTTTCAGCCAAGGGGCTGCGCTAGCAGCCCTTGTGTGTGCCCTGGGCCAGGCAGGCGATCCCCGCTTCCCCTTGCCACGGTTTATCCTCTTGGTGTCTGGTTTCTGTCCCCGGGGCATTGGGTTCAAGGAATCCATCCTGCAAAGGCCCTTGTCATTGCCTTCGCTCCATGTTTTTGGGGACACTGACAAAGTCATCCCCTCTCAGGAGAGTGTGCAACTGGCCAGCCAATTTCCCGGAGCCATCACCCTCACCCACTCTGGTGGCCACTTCATTCCAGCAGCTGCACCCCAGCGTCAGGCCTACCTCAAGTTCTTGGACCAGTTTGCAGAGTGAAAGATCAAGAAATGTCTCTGCTCCTACATCCAGCTCCTCTAGGGGCAGCCTCCGTCATCCATGCCCTCCCAGGACCCTCCACTCACTGCTGTGAGTGCGCCTCACCAGAACCAGTTAAGAGACAACTATCAATTCTTGAGACCCAAATTATAAGGGCCCTGCCCTGTACTGAAGAAAAGGGGAGCACAAGGCCTTAATGGACATTGACTTGTGAAAACGCAAACATGAATATGGTTGGAGAGCCCTGGATTAGGAGGGTGACATGGGGAAGGCAGAGGCTGGCACCATGGTGACTGCCACATAATAAAGTGGTGATTTGGATTTTGAGCATCTTTTTCCTGGTACACACAGAAAAACATTTTATAATGGAAGTCGGTTTCTTGGCCATCTACATAGTTTTCTGGGCAGCGCCAAGCAGGGAGGTGTCTCCAGTTGTGAGTCCTCGGACAGGCTGCTGCATGGGTGCACATACTCACGTTATTGGTGGAAGTTTTAAGTCCCAAACTGAAGGGAAGGAGGCCTAGGTGGCACAATCAGGGAGGAATATACATCTGAGAAGTTTTGGGAAGACATCACCTGGCAAGGCTGCCTGAACCACAGTAATTTAGTCTTCCTCTATCCAGATCACTGAGAGTTGTGTGCTGGTCTTCTCTCAAACCCTGGATGTGTTACCTGCTTCTCCCTAAGTGCTCTAACCTCGCTGAACTATGAGCCTGAAGGGTGGGTCGATGCCAGACCTTAGGTGGAGGCCAAAGACAGTACAGAATAAACAGCTTCTTCCTAAATTGACCCCATCTTGAGGGTTTCTGAGATTGATGCCATTCTTTAGTGACTACAGCCAAGGCCTAAGCAATCCAGCTGGTTTTCCCCTTGGGGCGTGTAGTTGTTCTTGGATACTTTGAGGATTGCTCACTCTTTTTTTTTTTTTTTTTGAGACAGGCTCACTCTGTCACCCAGGCTGGAGAGCAGTGGCCAAGATCCTGGCTCACTGCAACCTCAGCCTCCTGGGTTCAAGCAGTTCTGTCTCAGCCTCCTGAGTAGGTGGCGTTACAGGCATGCGCCACCACGCCTGGCTAATTTCTATATTTTTTTGTAGAGATAGGGTTTTGCCACGTTGCCCAGGCTGGTCTCAAAACTCTTTAGCTCAAACAATCCACCTGCCTCAGCCTCCCAAAGTGCTAGGATTATAGGCCTGAGCCACTGCACCTACCTAGGATTGCCCACTCTTTTTTTGTTTTCTTTACTTTTAAAGACAAGGTCTGACTCTATCACCCAGGCTGGAGTGCAGTGGCACAATCTTGACAGCCTCCACCTCCCGGGCTCAAGCCATCCATCCTCCCACCTCAGCCTCCCAAGCAGCTGGGGCTGCAGGCGCAAATCACCATGCCTGGCTAATTTTTGTATTTGTTGTAGAGAAGGGGTCTCACCATGTTGTGCGGATGGTCTCCAACTTGCGAGCTCAAGCAATCCACCTGTCCTGGCCTCCCAAAGTGCTGGAATTAACAGGCGTGAGCCACCTCACCTGGCCAATTGCCCACTCTTAATGAGTTCCCTCCCATTTCCAGTGCCACCTGACACCCCCCACCCCCTGACACACACACACACACTCTTGTTTTCTGACTTCCTGCCTCTGCAAGACAAGAAGCCTGTTCTTTTTCTGGAAGATCACACCAACTCCTGTTTAGCCCTCAGACATAGTTGCCAGGGAGCTAAGCAACTGAGCAGGAATTATGGTCAGGGACACAGCACAAATACTCCAGCCCATTTTTCTGACAACCAGACTAATATCCCTTACATTACCGAAAGTTCTGGGTTCCTCACTACAGAGATTAGCTGTCCAAAATTAAAAAAAACAAAACAAAACAGAATTATCCGCCCAGAGACCTAGTTACTGGGTGTGGAAAGTGTGTGTGGGGAGGGGTGGGAGGTGGTTCTCCCTTGCTTCAGTTGGCTTCTGCCTTGTTTTAAGGAATCTTCTCCTTTAGCAAAAGGAGGAGACTTTGGAATGGATTGATTACACAGACTGTGGTATCTGACCCATTGAATTTTAGAAAAAATTCTGATTTAAAGTTTCAGAAATTGCACAGAAAATTTCAGATTTCTGGCTTCTCTGGAAATGATAGATTTGCAGTTCAGGGCTCCCATACCCTCATGGTAATCATAGGCTGCCCCCTTTAGCACGGTCCCAAGAGGTGAAAACGACTTGTACACCCCAGCTGCTTGGGATTATTGAGGACGAAAGTAGAGAGAAGGGGAGAAATATTGGGGAGTGAATTTTGAGCCAAGGCTTAAAATTAAAAGTGGGGGAGGTAGAGCCCAGCAGTAGTAGGTGGAGGAGAAGGGCTCCTGGCCGGGGGTGAGGATTCCTCCTGAGAACCATAGTGTCCAAGCTAGAGGGAAACATGGGGTCCACTAGTTCTCGACAAGTGGAACAGGTCACTTCCCATCATGCCGTCCAGGAGCAAGAGAGACTCTTAGGGGGTTGTGCCCCTCCCCACCCCCAATACGCAGATTCTGTGTACCATTTACATCCAGAACATTGGTTAAAACCTGAATTCTGGCCCTGCGTGGTGGCTCATGCCTGTAATCCCAGCACTTTGGGAGGCGGAGGCGGGCAGATCACCTGAGGTTGGGAATTTGAGGCCAGCCAGACCAACAGAGAGAAACTCTGTCTCTACTAAAAATACAAAATTAGCCAACCATGGTGGCGCATGCCTGTAATCCCAGCTACTTGGAAGGCTGAAGCAGGAGAATTGCTTGAACCTGGGAGGCAAAGGTTGCGGTAAGCCGAGATCACGCTATTGCACTCCAACCTGGGCAACGAGAGCGAAACTGTCTCAAAAAAAAAAAAAAAAAAAAGTAGCTGGGCGTGGTGGCATGCACCTGTAATCCTAGCTACTTGGTAGGCTGAGGCAGGAGAATTGCTTGAACCCAGGAGGCGGAGGTTGCAGTGAGCCGAAATTGTGCCACTGCACTCCAGCCTGGGTGACAGAGTGAGACTCCATCTCAAAAAACCAACTTGAATTCTGGGGCCAACTCCAGATGTACTGAGTCAGAATCACTGGGACCCAGGAATCTGCATTTTGGCAAATTGCCCCCATCATTCCCAAGCAGGGATTTGAAAAGCCACTGCCTTAGGGGTTGAATGAAAGCCTCGGGTGAGGGTGTGTTATCTGAAAAACCCCTAGTGTGACTCTCTTGCAACCCACCAGGGAGGGGAGCAAGCTCCCCAGAACAATCACTGCTTAAACATTTTCAATTTATAGCAAAGGAAAATTAGGTCTGAAGGATAGAAATAGGAATAGCATTTATTTATTTACTTACTTATTTGAGACGGAGTCTCGCTCTGTCACCCAGGCTGGAGTGCAGTGGTACAGTCTCCGCTCTCTGCGACCTCCGCCTCCTGAGTTCGAGCGATCCGCCTGCCTCAGCCTCCAGAGTAGCTGGGATTACAGGTGTGCATCACCACTCCCAGCTAATTTTTGCATTTTCAGTAGAGACAGGGTTTCGCCATGTTGGCCAGGCTGGTCTTGAACTCCTGATCTCAAGTGATTCGCCCACCTCAGCCTCCCAAAGTGTTGGGATTACAGGTGTGAGCCACTGCACCCGGCCAGAAGAGCATTTATTGAGTAATAACTGTATACCAGACATTGTAATAAGCAAGAGCTTTAATGCGGCCTAATTTAGGGCCAGGTGCGATTGCTCATGCCTATAATCCCAGCACTTTGGGAGGCTAAGGCATGAGGATCAATTGAGCCCAGGAGTTCAGAACCAGCCTGGGAAACATAGTGAGACCCCCTCTCTACAAATAATTTAAAAGTTAGCTGGGTGTGGTGGCATGCACCTGTGGTCCCAGCTACTCGGGAGGCTCAGGTGGGAGGATCACTTGAGCCCAGGAGTTTTGAGGCTGCAGTAAGCTGTGATTGTGCCACTGTATTCCAGCCTGGGAGACAGAGCTAGACCCTGTCTCCAAAAAAAAAGAAAAAAAAACAAACTACAAAAATTGGCTGGGGGTGGTGGCACACACCTGTAGTCCTAACTACTCAGGAGGCTGAGACAGGAGAATTGCTTGAACCTGGGAGGCGGACGTTGCAGTGAGCCGAGATCATGCTACTGCACTTCAGCCTGGGCAACAGAGCAAGACTCCATCTCAGAAGAAAAAAACAAATAAAATTATATATATATAACACATATATATTTTATATATATTAGGCAATAAATATATATAGCTTAAACCTTACAACTTCATGTTTAATCTCACAACTTCATGAGGTAGGTACCATTATTATTATTATTATTTGAGACGGAGTGTCACTCAGCCACCCAGGCTGGAGTTCAGTGGCACGATCACGGCTCACTGCACCTCCGTCTCCTGGGTTCAAGTGATTCTAGTGCCTCAGCCTCCCAAGCAGCTGGAATTACTGGCAAGCACCACCATGGCTGGCTAATTTTTTGTGTTATTAGTAGAGACGGAGTCTGACCATATTGGCCAGGCTGGATTATTATTAAGACAGGGTCTACCTCTGTCACCAGGTGCAGGATCATGGCTCACTGCAGCCTCGACCTCTTCGGCTCAAGTGACCCTCCCGCTTCAGCCTCCTGAGTAGCTTAGCTGAGACTACAGGTGCCACCTATCACACTGGCTTTTTTTTTTTTAAGACATGGGGTCTCACTATGTTGCCCAGGCTGGTCTCGAATTTCTGGGCTCAAGCAGTCCTCCAGCCTCTGCCCCGCCCCGCAAAATGGTGTGATTACAGGCATGAGCCATGTCTCCCAGCCCTAAATAATGATTTTTTTTTTTTGAGACAGGGTCTCACTCTGTCATCCAGGCTGGAGTACAGTGGTGCAATCACAGCTCACTGCAGCCTCAACCTCCCAGCCTCAAGCAATCCTCCCACCTCAACTTCCCAAGTAGCTGGGACTACAGGTGTGCACAACTAATTTTCTTTCTTTTCTTTCCTTTCTTCTTTCCTTTCTTTCTTTTTTGTAGAGATGGGAGTCGCATTGTATTGCCCAGGCTGGTCTCGAACTCCTGGGCTCAAGAGATCCTCCCACCTATGCCTCCCAAAGTGCTGGGATTACAGGCGTGAGCCACTGTGCCCTGCCCTAAATGATTTCTAAGATGCTAAACAACCCTGACGTACGGTCAATCCTCTGGTTCTTTCCCCTCTGACCACATTCTGACCTCTTCTCAGAATATCCCAACCATTTCTGTTTTCCACCTCTGATTCCACCTTGGATTCCTAGAGCTCTTAGGAGAGAGAACCCCCTTAGCAAGGAACCTCTCAACAGCCCCAGGCCCAGAGTGAACCCGGGAGGCGGAGGTTGCAGTGAGCCGAGATAGTGCCACTGCACTCCAGCCTGGGCGACAGAGCGAGACTGTCTCAGAAGAAAAAAAATAAAAGTATATGTATGTATAACATATATATAATATAGATTATATATATATTAGACAATAAATATATATAGCCTAAAGCTCAAGGTGTACCCCCCACATCCCGTTCATTCTGCCTAAGTGCACAGAGCTGGGGTCCCCTCCCAACACCACCCCTTCACAAACATGTAGTAGCCTAACAGAATACTTAAGATCAAAATAACATTCTGCTGTTTTTGGATTTTTACTTACATGATCCTATTTAATCCTCACAGTGCACCTGCCGAGGAGAAGAGATTATTATCCCGTTTTACAGAAAGCTCAGAAACAGAATATGGCCCCTTAACCACCAGTTGCTGATAATGCCAG
Source organism: Homo sapiens (assembly GCF_000001405.40). NCBI lineage: Eukaryota > Metazoa > Chordata > Mammalia > Primates > Hominidae > Homo > Homo sapiens. The sequence goes on from NC_000017.11 coordinate 2,048,848, forward strand.
GTTGGACCTCTGGCTTCCCAGAGCACTACACCCAGCAGTCCACTGCAGTCCACCCACTGACATCCCCTGGAACCCAGAAGCAAGTGCGTTTTAATCTGCAAGACCTCGGGGCCCTGGGGAGGTGGGATGGCTAGCATGTGGGTGTTGATTAACTGGGAAACCGGCACGAGTGTCTTAGAAGTACTTCACAAAGGAGCCGGGTGGGGAGTGAAGGAGGGGGTGGGGCGTGAGACGTTAAGAAAAATTGGATTAACGTGTCGTGGGCTGGGTTGCATTAACCATTCCCAACACTATCTCTGGGGAAGTCTCACACCTGATATTCAATAGACATCCCCTGTAGTGGGTGATGTTGGCAGAGGCAGGCGACATATACAATAATATTTTTAGAGATCCTTGTTCACACTTCATCCGCACCAGAGGACTTCAGCCCCTGTGGTATTCACTCCTCTTTAGGGCTAATTTGAGAAACTGTCTCAGATTGGAATCCAGCACCTAGAGATAGGCTGAGGTGAGCAGGCTGATCTGTTCAGACGCTTCGCGGACCAGGTTAACTTTACAAGCTCATTGGCTTCCAGAGGGTTGGGGACCCTTCTTATCCTCCTAGCTCAGAGGGAAAGATTCAAGAGTTTACTCTTCGCCCAATGCCCACTTCAGCTAGGGGTTCCTGGAAGAACGGGGCTGTGGAGTATCTCAGAAAACTTTCCTCCCTCTACTGTCTTCAGGCCCCAGGAGACAAACCTCCTTCCAAGCCTCCTGGTCCCAGTGGCTTCCCTCTCACCGAAATCGAAAGAACCCGAGTCCCAGCCCGACCCCTTCTCTCGCCGAGCCCTGGCTGGGATACCTTGGCCGGGAGGACAGGACGGCCTCAGGCTGGCCGCCAGACGCACTCCGCAGGACGCGCGCGCTCGAGCCTCGGTGGACTCAGCCGCCGGCCCCGGGAGGCCGCCTCCCTGCGCAGCACCTCCTGCCACCCGCGCGGGCACGTGGGATCTTGACTCGCCGCCCCCGCCTCCTTCTGCTCCGCGTCCCCAGCCCGCGGCTCGGGGCGCGGCGTGGCGCGGCGCGTGGGCGTGCTGCGGGGCGACCATGGCTGTAGACTGTTACCTCCAGTTCCCACAGTAACAATCGAAAGCCACGGTTGCCCTGGAGACGCGGGGGCGGGGCGCGCGGACGGCGCCGGCGCGGGGCGGGCTGACGTCAGGGCCGCGGGGGGGCGGGCGGGGCGGCGGGGGCTGAGGAGCGCGCGTGGGCCACCGCCCCTCGCAGCCCCTAGGGACCCGGACGGGGCGGCCCGATGGCGGCGCCTGCGTTGATCAGCACCGCGGACAGCGGCGGCGCAGGCAGCGGGCCGGGGGCGGGGCCCTGAGGGACGGGGACTGGGGGTCCCCGGGCGCGGCGGCGGCGGCCGGGGCCGCGGTCCTGGGGCGGGGCCAGGCGTCGGTGGCCGTGACTGGAGACTGTTACTGAGGGCGGCCCGGGCAGTAAGCAGTCTAGAGCCAAGGTGCCGGCGCGCTGTCCGGGCGGGGTGCCCCGGTCGCCCCGGCTGCCCCGGCTGGGGGCTCTGCTGCTCCGCCTCCCCTGCGTCTCCCGCCCTGCCCCGCCCGGCGCTCGCGACCAGGCACGCGGCCCCTGACGTCAGAGGGCCGTGACGTCAAAGATGTCCCAGAGGGGGCACTTCCGGCGGGGGCGTGGGGGCGGGGCGGGACCTGGGAGGCCCCGCCCCCCCGGTCCTGAGAGGACAGCTCCGCTCGCAGAGGCGGGAAGCCGTGGGCGCCGCGGGACCCGCTGGACGGGACCTGCCGGGAAGGGGCGCCCGACGCCATGCGGGGCGGGGGTCCCAGGAGGGCCGGGGAAGCGGGGGTGGGCGTCCGTCTCTCGCCTGCACCCCCGCTCAGCCGGCCCGGGCAGCGAGGCTGAGTCACCGCGCCGCAGGGAGGGAGAGGAGGGGGCGCGTCTCCTGGGGCGCCAGCACCTTCGCCTCACTTTCCTGGGAGAATGGCGCAGGAGCCCCAAGAAAGCCGGGGGGGGGTCTCCGAGGTCGGTCCTCCACTCGATGCTCCTCCGAAGTAGCTGCGTGTCCATCGGGCGCCGGCAGGTGCTGCGCGGGCTCGTGTCGTCTCTGGCCCCGGCTCCGCAGCCGCGAGGGGACCCCGGTGCCCCCCGTCCGCCCCCATCCCCACCCCGGAGGGGCCGCCCCACCCGCCGCCTGCCCGTCCCCTCCTCGTCCTCCCGTCCGTGTCCGCACATCTGTCCCTCCGCGGCTGGTCCGTCCCGCTTACCTGGCGGGCCGCGTCGCCACTGCCCGGTCGCCTCCCGCAGCCTGGCCGGCGCGGCGGCTTTTATAGGCGCGCGTAGTACTCGTGCGGCGGCTCATTCATGCGGCCGCGGCTCCTACACACTGACGCGCTGCCGACGTCAGCGGGGAATTTAGGAAATGGGAAAAGGGGCTATTTATAGTGGCGAGGCGGGGGGTGGGGACCGAGGCGACCGGGAGGGGAGGAGGGGGCGCGGAAGCGGCGGCGGGGTAGGGGGAGCCGCGCCCCTGCCCAGCCGACAAGGGGTTAACTTTCCGGAACCGCGGGCCTGGGGCCGGGGAGGCGGCGCGGAGGGGCGCGGCGGGCCCTTCGAGCTTATTCACGCTCTCCTTCCGGAGCCCCGCGGCTCCTGGGGGTCTTCACGTGGCAGCCCCTTCCCCCTCCTCAGTTCCTGGACCTGACGTTTCTGCCGTCACACCCCGCAAGGCCACTGCGGTGTCGCCACCCTCTCGTCCTGCAGGGTGGGCAGGAGAGGAAGCTGGACTCCCGTGGGGGCCTGGGGCGCAGCGAGGGCTGTGGCGTCGGGGGCCGGGAGAAGAAGAGTAGGGGAGCCCAAAGTAGCCCAGGAGTCTTTAGCGGAGGAACCTGGGCCTGGGAGGGAAGGCCCAGCGGGGATTCAGGTACCACCCAGGAGCTGGAGACCCGAGGGACGGCAGAGAAGTTGGGGAAGGTGGGCCAACCTCCCCAGAAATGATGAGCAACGGGATCCTCTATGAGGGAGCTGGGGGAACGCGCCAGAGGTAGGGGTGAGAGGAATGGGCAGCCTCAGCAAGGGAGAGAGGAAAGGCTGTCAGTGCCACGCTCCAGAGCCTGGCATCCAGGACCCACCTTCGGACCATTTGTGGCACGATGGACGCTCCCAGAGCTCACGTTAGGGTAATAGAGAGTGAAGGAGACCAGCAGCTTGGCCAAGAGGGGCCCCCAGGGGATGAGGAGGACGGTTTCCTGGAGAAGTTAATGTTCCCGGAGACCAGAATTGGCAGGGAGAGCCCATGACTTGTGGGGCAGTTCCCCTGGTTGGGAGCGGGGAAATGCATGGTCCTGGCCCAGCCTGGCTCCATCGAGATGGAGGAAGGGTCTAAATGAGAGGAGTGTGTTCAGACGAGGAGCTGGACCAGGATGGGGAGGGCTGTGCAAGGCATGGCCGGAAGAGCGGGGCAGGGAGAGAAAGGTCGAAGAGTGAAGTGCACAGGAGGGCAAGGCGGTCCTCACCCTGCCTGGGCTGGGGCAGGGCTGTGAGACCCTCCCTTACAGAAGCAATGAGGGCTTGAGGAGGGGGTTAGGGGCCTGGGCTGGGGCAGGGCTGTGAGACCCTCCCTTACAGAAGCAATGAGGGCTTGAGGAGGGGGTTAGGGGCCTGGGCTGGGGCAGGGCTGTGAGACCCTCCCTTACAGAAGCAATGAGGGCTTGAGGATGGGGTTAGGGGCCTGGGCTGGGGCAGGGCTGTGAGACCCTCCCTTACAGAAGCAATGAGGGCTTGAGGAGGGGGTTAGGGGCCTGGGCTGGGGCAGGGCTGTGAGACCCTCCCTTACAGAAGCAATGAGGGCTTGAGGAGGGGGTTAGGGGCCTGGGCTGGGGCAGGGCTGTGAGACCCTCCCTTACAGAAGCAATGAGGGCTTGAGGAGGGGGTTAGGGGCCTGGGCTGGGGCAGGGCTGTGAGACCCTCCCTTACAGAAGCAATGAGGGCTTGAGGATGGGGTTAGGGGCCTGGGCTGGGGCAGGGCTGTGAGACCCTCCCTTACAGAAGCAATGAGGGCTTGAGGATGGGGTTAGGGGCCTGGGCTGGGGCAGGGCTGTGAGACCCTCCCTTACAGAAGCAATGAGGGCTTGAGGATGGGGTTAGGGGCCTGGGCTGGGGCAGGGCTGTGAGACCCTCCCTTACAGAAGCAATGAGGGCTTGAGGATGGGGTTAGGGGCAGTAAGTTAACTTGGGGAGCGGATGTGGGGGAACGCTGAAGAATAAAGACTGTGGGCACAGCAGACCCCTGGGGCAGGTTAGCAATGCACAGACTCCACTGCACAAGATACATGGGGCGGAGGGGCTCTTTGGAAGTCGGGGGTGGGGGATCTGACTCTATCAAAAAGAGAAAAGATAAAAGAGATGGGGTCAGAGAGGCCCTGCATAGTCTGGATTTGGCCTACTAGAGCTCCAGTTTTCTTGCCGCTAGCCTTTGTTCCAGGGATTCTGTTATTCACAAATGCCTTCCTGCTCGGTAGAAGAACTCCTATTCATCCGTCAAAGCCCAGCTCTAGGAGCACTTATGAGGAGCCTCTCCACCTCCCCTCAACACTCCGTAACTTCCACCTCAGGCCGCAGCACGTCCCTCGGGCGAGATGTCGGGGTCCGCCTTCCCTAGAGACCGGCAGCTCCGGAGGCCTCCGTTTTCCTCTTTGGGACCTCACTGCTTCTAAAGTGAGGATGCTATGGGGAGACATGGGAGAGGGAGTGGGTAAGATGGATCCAGAACATGGGGCGGACTCAGGCAGCGGCGGGAATCAGGCGGACTCGTTTGGACCGAAGCCTCCGCCAGGCACCGAAGCCGTGAAGTCGCCTGCGCAGCAAAGGGAGCCTCCGGGGGGCGCCCGAGACCTTGGTGTCGCTCGGGGGCCGCTGGTAGCCGCGCCCGCTGCCCCTCGCCCGGTGACTCAGCCGGTACCTCTGGCGGGGCCATGGGGGCCAGAGGACAGCGCGGGGGGCGGCGAGCGCGGTTGCTAAGCTCTCCAAGGCCTCGGAGGGACAGGATCTGGGCGCACCTCACCGGTTGCCATGGTAACGCAGCGCCCCAGCCCCTCGCGCTCCGCGGTGGAGGGAGGCGCAGCCAATCGGAAGCGGCGGAGTTCTCGGGGACCCCCCCCCCCCCCGCTCCACGCCGTGTGTGGGCGGGGGTCAGGAGGTGCGGGGCGGAGGCGGAGCGTGGGCCGCGGAGATCCGGCGTTCGCAGGAGGCTTGGTGCGCGGCGGGGCTGCACGGGGCCACTTCCGGAGTAGTACTGCGAGCAGCGGCGCGACAGTGCGGGGTCCCCTTTCTCCCAGAAGAGACGTCACCCACACAAACCTGACCTTCACGTGGGGCGCGGGACCTTGCGGGGTCCCAGCCGCAGGCGCCCCTGTTGTTTCCTTCGGGCGGGTGGGTTGGAGAAGAAGTCCACGCGGGATTCTTCAAAACGGCGTACAGGGGGATTCTAGGGCCCCATGGTTACTTCTTTGGACCCCCCGGAGGCGCTGTCCAGCCACTTCCAGTCGCCCTGATGACTCGTCGTGGGTTCCTTTAGGAGACCCGAAAGTTCAGGGCGGGCTGTGTGGGTAACACCTCTGCCCAGGTTCCCGGAGGGCCCTACGTGGCTGCCCCTGGAGTATCCCAGAGCGCTAGGGCTGCGGGAAGGGGCGGGTGTGCTTCTGGAAACATGAGCGCCTGTTAGTATCAGTGCCTGGATAGGGCTGGGGACAAATCAGTTTATGCCGCGCACACCGAATCCATGCGCCTGAGTGAGGGTGGGTGTGTTGGGGAGTGCGTCCAAGTGGACAGTGCCGTACAGTAATGTCTACGGGGAGTTCCAGGAGAGCTCGGCTACTCCTGCGCAGGATAACCTCTCCCCCACCACCCGAGTCCCGTGCTCGCGGGCAGGACTTTTCCGAACTGGGGCTGTGTGCCTAGAAATACGTACATGGGAGCGCTCAGCTCAAAGCCCCAGGGTTTCTGGGACTCGCGTGTCCGGGGTCGGGGTCCCAGGTGGGTACAGGTGGGAGGGCGAACCTGCGGGTAGGGTGGGCCCCTCCCCGCGGGCTCAGCATCTGTGCGCCTCCAGCTCAGGTGCGCGGGAGGAAGGCAGCGGCCTGCCGCGCAGAGCCCTGCGCGCCCGCGAGGTGGCGCCATAGCCGCAGCAGCGCCCGCCGGCCCGGGCCGCTCCAGATAAGAGTGTGCGGAAAGCGCGGCGGGGCTGAGACGCGACCAGGACGCGGGGAGGACGGACCAGCAGGACAGACCGACCGGGGGCCCGGCGGGCGGAGGGCAGCGCAGCCACGTCCCCCCTGGATCCGCCGTCAGCCGGGCCCGGGGCTTTCGACATGCCCCCCAGGTGGGTCCTCGAGCCGGGGACCGGGAGGGACGGGGGACCCGGGACAGCCCGGTCCTCGTGCGTCGGCCGCCTCGGGTGCATCTTCTGGCGCGGGTGCCCCATCGCGGCTGGCGGCTGGCGTTCAGGGCTCCGGGTGTCGTCCCTTTCGGACTCAGGACCACCGGGCCGCGGCTCCGCGCCGGGTTCACGGCGGGGTCAGCGGCCCGGGGCCGGCTCTGCCCGCACATGGGCTGGAGAGGCGAGGGGAAGGGAAGGGAAGGGGAGCTGGCGGGCGGGGCTGGCAGGGGCGCTGCCCTGGCACAGCTCGGGGCCTGGCAGCGGCGGGTGGGGCATCGGCTAAGAGCTGCCACCGCCGCGGGGAGGGGAGCCCGGCCCGCCGGGACCGCAGGTAACGGGCCGCGGGGCCCCGCGGGCCAGGAGGGGAACGGGGTCGGGCGGGCGAGCAGCGGGCAGGGGAGCTCAGGGCTCGGCTCCGGGCTCTGCCGCCGGATTTGGGGGCCGCGAGGAAGAGCTGCGAGCCGAGGGCCTGGGGCCGGCGCACTCCTCCCGCCCTGTCTGCAGTTGGAAAACTTTTCCCCAAGTTTGGGGCGGCGGAGTTCCGGGGGAGAAGGGGCCGGGGGAGCCGCGGAGGGAGGCGCCGGGCCCGCGCGTGTAGGGCCCAGGCCGAGGCCGGGACGCGGGTGGGGCGCAGGCCCGGGTCAGGGCCGCAGCCGGCTGTGCGCCGTGCCCGCCCGGGGCGCTGCCCCCTCCCTCCCCTGGGAGCTGCGTGGCTCCCCCCTCCCCCCCACCTGCTTCCTGCCTCAGCCTCCTGCCCCGATATAACGCCCTCCCCGCGCCGGGCCCGGCCTTCGCGCTCTGCCCGCCACGGCAGCCGCTGCCTCCGCTCCCCGCGCGGCCGCCGCCCGGGCCCCGACCGAGGGTTGACAGCCCCCGGCCAGGGCGGCGCCAGGGCGGGCACCGCGCTCCCCTCCTCCGTATCACTTCCCCCAACTGGGGCAACTTCTCCCGAGGCGGGAGGCGCTGGTTCCTCGGCTCCCTTTCTCCCTACTTGGGTAAAGTTCTCCGCCCTGAATGACTTTTCCTGAAGCGGACATTTTACTTAAATCGGGTAACTGTCTCCAAAAGGGTCACTGCGCCTGAACAGTTTTCTTCTCGGAAGCCCCAGCACCCAGCCAGGTGCCCTGGGGCGTGCAGGCCGCCCTGGCCTCCCCTCCACCGGCGGCCGCTCACCTCCTGCTCCTTCTCCTGGTCCGGGCGGGCCGGCCTGGGCTCCCACTCCAGAGGGCAGCCGGTCCTTCGCCGGTGCCCAGGCCGCAGGGCTGATGCCCCCGCTCAGCTGAGGGAAGGGGAAGTGGAGGGGAGAAGTGCCGGGCTGGGGCCAGGCGGCCAGGGCGCCGCACGGCTCTCACCCGGCCGGTGTGTGTCCCCGCAGGAGAGTGTGCTGGGCAGACGATGCTGGACACGATGGAGGCGCCCGGCCACTCCAGGCAGCTGCTGCTGCAGCTCAACAACCAGCGCACCAAGGGCTTCTTGTGCGACGTGATCATCGTGGTGCAGAACGCCCTCTTCCGCGCGCACAAGAACGTGCTGGCGGCCAGCAGCGCCTACCTCAAGTCCCTGGTGGTGCATGACAACCTGCTCAACCTGGACCATGACATGGTGAGCCCGGCCGTGTTCCGCCTGGTGCTGGACTTCATCTACACCGGCCGCCTGGCTGACGGCGCAGAGGCGGCTGCGGCCGCGGCCGTGGCCCCGGGGGCTGAGCCGAGCCTGGGCGCCGTGCTGGCCGCCGCCAGCTACCTGCAGATCCCCGACCTCGTGGCGCTGTGCAAGAAACGCCTCAAGCGCCACGGCAAGTACTGCCACCTGCGGGGCGGCGGCGGCGGCGGCGGCGGCTACGCGCCCTATGGTCGGCCGGGCCGGGGCCTGCGGGCCGCCACGCCGGTCATCCAGGCCTGCTACCCGTCCCCAGTCGGGCCTCCGCCGCCGCCTGCCGCGGAGCCGCCCTCGGGCCCAGAGGCCGCGGTCAACACGCACTGCGCCGAGCTGTACGCGTCGGGACCCGGCCCGGCCGCCGCACTCTGTGCCTCGGAGCGCCGCTGCTCCCCTCTTTGTGGCCTGGACCTGTCCAAGAAGAGCCCGCCGGGCTCCGCGGCGCCAGAGCGGCCGCTGGCTGAGCGCGAGCTGCCCCCGCGCCCGGACAGCCCTCCCAGCGCCGGCCCCGCCGCCTACAAGGAGCCGCCTCTCGCCCTGCCGTCGCTGCCGCCGCTGCCCTTCCAGAAGCTGGAGGAGGCCGCACCGCCTTCCGACCCATTTCGCGGCGGCAGCGGCAGCCCGGGACCCGAGCCCCCCGGCCGCCCCGACGGGCCTAGTCTCCTCTATCGCTGGATGAAGCACGAGCCGGGCCTGGGTAGCTATGGCGACGAGCTGGGCCGGGAGCGCGGCTCCCCCAGCGAGCGCTGCGAAGAGCGTGGTGGGGACGCGGCCGTCTCGCCCGGGGGGCCCCCGCTCGGCCTGGCGCCGCCGCCGCGCTACCCTGGCAGCCTGGACGGGCCCGGCGCGGGCGGCGACGGCGACGACTACAAGAGCAGCAGCGAGGAGACCGGTAGCAGCGAGGACCCCAGCCCGCCTGGCGGCCACCTCGAGGGCTACCCATGCCCGCACCTGGCCTATGGCGAGCCCGAGAGCTTCGGTGACAACCTGTACGTGTGCATTCCGTGCGGCAAGGGCTTCCCCAGCTCTGAGCAGCTGAACGCGCACGTGGAGGCTCACGTGGAGGAGGAGGAAGCGCTGTACGGCAGGGCCGAGGCGGCCGAAGTGGCCGCTGGGGCCGCCGGCCTAGGGCCCCCTTTTGGAGGCGGCGGGGACAAGGTCGCCGGGGCTCCGGGTGGCCTGGGAGAGCTGCTGCGGCCCTACCGCTGCGCGTCGTGCGACAAGAGCTACAAGGACCCGGCCACGCTGCGGCAGCACGAGAAGACGCACTGGCTGACCCGGCCCTACCCATGCACCATCTGCGGGAAGAAGTTCACGCAGCGTGGGACCATGACGCGCCACATGCGCAGCCACCTGGGCCTCAAGCCCTTCGCGTGCGACGCGTGCGGCATGCGGTTCACGCGCCAGTACCGCCTCACGGAGCACATGCGCATCCACTCGGGCGAGAAGCCCTACGAGTGCCAGGTGTGCGGCGGCAAGTTCGCACAGCAACGCAACCTCATCAGCCACATGAAGATGCACGCCGTGGGGGGCGCGGCCGGCGCGGCCGGGGCGCTGGCGGGCTTGGGGGGGCTCCCCGGCGTCCCCGGCCCCGACGGCAAGGGCAAGCTCGACTTCCCCGAGGGCGTCTTTGCTGTGGCTCGCCTCACGGCCGAGCAGCTGAGCCTGAAGCAGCAGGACAAGGCGGCCGCGGCCGAGCTGCTGGCGCAGACCACGCACTTCCTGCACGACCCCAAGGTGGCGCTGGAGAGCCTCTACCCGCTGGCCAAGTTCACGGCCGAGCTGGGCCTCAGCCCCGACAAGGCGGCCGAGGTGCTGAGCCAGGGCGCTCACCTGGCGGCCGGGCCCGACGGCCGGACCATCGACCGTTTCTCTCCCACCTAGAGCGCCCCTCGCCAGCCCGCTCTGTCGCTGCTGCGCGGCCCTGGCCCGCACCCCAGGGAGCGGCGGGGGCGGCGCGCAGGGCCCACTGTGCCCGGGACAACCGCAGCGTCGCCACAGTGGCGGCTCCACCTCTCGGCGGCCTCACCTGGCCTCACTGCTTCGTGCCTTAGCTCGGGGGTCGGGGGAGAACCCCGGGACGGGGGTGGGATGGGGTAAGGGAAATTTATATTTTTGATATCAGCTTTGACCAAAGGAGACCCCAGGCCCCTCCCGCCTCTTCCTGTGGTTCGTCGGCCCCCTCCCCCGGCTCCGCGCTGCTCTTAGAGGGGGAGGGGTGTCACTGTCGGGGCACTCCTAGCCCTACCTCCGGCCCTTGCGACCACACCCATTCTCACTGTGAATCTCCCCGCTGGGGTCGGAGCGTCGGGCAGAGTTGGGGAGTGGGGAGGGGACTGAGCCGGCCGGAGGGCCCCCCGCACCCCCGCTCCCACCCACCCCGGGACTGATAATGTGAAGTTCCTCATTTTGCACAAGTGGCACTAGCCCCAGGGCCAACCCTTCCTTCCTCAGTCACCAAGGGCGGGGAGTTCTGGAGTCGGAAGGCGAAGAGCCTACCACCAGGTCTCCCACTCCCGCGGTGCCCTCCCTTCCCTTCCCTGCGGCCCCGGACCATATTTATTGCATGCGCCCCGGCGGCCCCCCATCCCGAGCCCAGGCTGGGCTGGGCTGGAACGCGGTCTCTTTAGCTCCCTCCTCTTCGTTTGTATATTTCCTACCTTGTACACAGGCTCTTCCAGAGCCGCTTCCATTTTCTATACTCGAACCAAACAGCAATAAAGCAGTAACCAAGGACCCCGACCCCGCTGCTCTCTTCTGCCCCTGCACAAGGACCTGGATGGGCTGCGCCCGCTGGGTGGAGGAGCCAGAAAGGGCCACCCTCACACAGGTGCAGAGGCTTGGACCTGCCTCCCTCCCCAGTCCCAGAAACAGATCAGCAAGAGGTCAGGTATGTTTCATAACTAAAAATTTATTAAGGAAACAAAACCAGTGCTGCAAACGGGACAGAAAGGAGAGCTGGGTCTCCCTCCCGACCACCCAGTCATCGGCCTTCCAGCTGGGGAGAGAATCTTAAAGGAGAGGCCGGGGACCCTGTACTCCAAAGAGCCCAGTCTTCTGAGACTCTAGGGGACTCCTACCCCCAAACTACTGGCCTTGGCTCCCCTACACGGTACCCCATCGCTTCTGGCATAGTCCTGGGCCTCAGGGAGGGCAGAGCTGCGCACCCATCCTCCAGGCAGGCTGTGCAGTCAGGCCATGGGCTCTGGGGTATCCCCCACTGGTCCCATTAAGATTTGCCCCTGGCTCCACCGAAAACCCCGTCTTCCCCTAAGTTGTCCTTGTCTCTGGCCCTGGGTTTCAGGAACTCATTCTTGGTAAGGAAGCCTCCCCACTGAGGTACCAGCTAAAGGGGCAAGGAAAGGGCCCCTGTGTCAGTGTCAGTTTTTCCGGGGAGTGAGGGCAAAGCTAGAAACCAGGTTAGGCGACGGTGCCCCAGCACTGGAATGCCTCAGGCTGGGCTGTCCACGCCTGGAAGTTTCTCCCAGCACAGGAGCCGAGGGTGGAAGGCCCTGGGTGGGAGACCTGTACTAGGTTCCTGCCATGGGTAGTAGAGAGGGAAAGTTCAGAGTGAGAACCCCTATGACGAGGAACCGCGGTGAAGAAATGAAGGGGATCAGGGAGGTGAAAAGGATCAACTAGAAGGGGAAGAAGGGTGAGGGGCTATTCTGGAGGGAGGGTAGGCGGGCAAGGAGGGGTGAAGGGGGAGCTGAGGGGAGTCAGGACATTTCCTGAAGAGGAAGCTAGACGGAAAGAAAGGCCAGTGAGGAGAGAGGGAGCAGGTGGAGGCCACCCGAGAGCACGGGCCTGAGACCAGATGCCCCTTTCCTCTAGACTCATGACTGTCCACGGGGACGCAACTGGCGAAGTGTGAGGGACCCAGGTTGATAAGGGCAGGAAGAGGAGCAGCAGGAAGGGTGTGTGGTAAGTCTGGGGTGGATGGTAGAAGAGGTGGGGGCCCAGGGCTGCTGTTAGGGACATGCTGTCTAGAAGCCGACTTGGGTTCATGGGCGAGTCCAGGCCTCAGGGAGACTGGGGACACACACCCTGGGCACTTCTTCCTGACTTAACCAAAGCCTCTTGAACACATTCACGACAGAGGTTCTGAAGATGAAAGGGAACTGTGATTTCACTGCATCTGACGGAAACTCAGAACCCCTGCCCTGTCTCCACTGGAGAAAGTGGCTGCGTCCCCAGGCGAGAAGGCCCTCCCTCAGCCTTGGAATGAGACGGGGGAGGGAGAAAGGCTGAGAGCATGGGCGGCCTATCTGGCTTGCCCAGCTGCTGTTGCTGTAGCCAGCCACCTCCCTGCTAAATCCTGGCAGCCCAGGAGGGTCCCAGCAGCTTCCGCCCGATCCTTGGGAGGGGCTCTGTGAGGAGCAGGTCCCCCACAGCATGGCCGTGGCGTGGGTTGGAAGAGGATGGTTTATTGTCTGGGTGGATTGGTGGCTCAGGCACGTGGGCATCTTCCGTGCTACACTGGGCGCCTGGTGGCCTTTCAGGAACGGTTCCACGGGGGGGGGGCCCCAGTGTGGCTCCCTCAGCCCACCTGGGCCCACGTGAGGAAGGCTGGGATGTCCCGTACAGGAACATTCCTTGTGAGCGCCTTCACACGCAGGTTCCGGTCATCCGTCAACAGCACCACCTCCCGCAGTAGCCGGATTGGCTCCTCTGTGGGCATGAGAGAGCAGAAGGCTGTCACTGAGGACAGGAGGCAGAGGGCTGGCTGCTCTTCTCACCCTGGAGAATGTGGTCCTGGGGAGGGGGTGCCACGCTAGCCGTGTCTTGGCTCTTCTACCAGTCCTTTCCTCCGTCCGGGCTCTCAGCCCCGGGGACCCTCCCCTGCTGGCCTAGAGAGGGCTGCACTGGGCTTCTGCCTTGACTCCGGCCTCCCATACAGGACTCTCTTCTGCCTAGTTCCCAAAAGCTGCCCAAACCCGTCAGCCTCCCAGGACCCTAAACTGAGGGAATAGAAGCAGCCCCTTGACCTCTACTCCTTTTTACCACATGGCTGGCCCCCAGATCACAACACCGCTCTCCCCACACCCCACTTTTTTTTTTTTAACAAGTCCTCTCCCTCTAAAAGCCAGCAGGTTGAAGCTTTACGCATCCAGAGGCAGAAAACTAAAGATGGAACAGAAAATGTATCCAGGGTTTTCCAGATGTGGGGAGAGGGGTTAAGGGAGCCCTGAGGAGAGGAGAGGGTAAGGGTCTTGGCAGAATTGTGCCAAGGGCACACCAAGGCTTTGGCCAACCGGTCGCCCCTGCTAAGTAACAGTAATCCATGTATACAGGCGAAAGTCTCTAAGAGGACAGAAGAGTAAAAAGGAAGAGTAGAGTTAAGATGATGATCCCAGTTCTCCGTCTTGTACCCCAGGGAAGACCTGTGTATCCTTCCAGGTTTCTTTAGGCACATTTACAAGTACATACACTTGGACATATAACCTTTTTTTCCTACAGCATCATGATCATATTAGCCACACTTTCAGAGTATATACTTAAAAGGTCTTGCTATAGTGGCACAGATATCTTTCATTCTTTTTAGATGACTTTTTTTTTTTTTAAGCACAGTCTCTCCACTACCTCTCTTTCCCTAACTCCCTAATCTTTAACACATTGGAGAGAATTTAAGCCAGGGACAAGCACTCACACAAGTGACATCCCTACCCTGACAGGCCTGCTTGGGTGGCAGGTCTACTCGTCAGTCCCAGGCTGGGCATTTCCTGACAGAGGTCCAGGTCCGGCAGACAGCAAGGCACAGGAAGTGTCCTGCTGTGCTCACTGACTGCGTGGGCTGGCGGGGGTGGGGGGCTGCAAATATCCATGTCGGACCTGAGCAGTCTCAGGCTTGCCAGCTCCAGGCAGGGAGGCTGAGAACTGGCTTTCAGCCTGGGGAGGAGTTTGGAGGATTCGGGAGGGAGAGGTTTGTGGGGTTGGTGGTGGCGAGAGAAGAGGACAGGAGGAAGGAGAGTGTGAAGGGAGGCAAGGGGCTGTGGGCAGAGGGGAAAGGAAGGTGGCCTCGGGTGAGGGGATACTCAGAGACTACTCAGCTGCCTGGGCCAGGCCCCTCTGCAGATAAGTGTGGCTGGGGTGGTGGTATGCAGGGCTGTGTGGGGCTCCCAGCTGACTGGCTGCGTCTGTAGCAGCCCCACTATTCCTGCCCTGGGCCTCAAACCAGGAGCGTCCCAGGCCTTAGGTCAGCTAACCAAGGCCCGACATTGCTGGCAGGGGTCTGCAGGGGTTTCTGTGGATACTTTGACATTTTTCACAATAAACATCCTCTGTTTTGACACTGGTAACTTCACTTTGTTAGAAACCAGAGACTGTCATCTTGTCAGGCCCCATCCGCCATAATCCACATGATTTTAAAATTCAACATCGTTTACACATAAACATTTAGTGACGGTTTCTCTGTGAATCTGACAAGTTAATCTGCTAAGAATTCACACTGACAAATGGGCTTTGATTACACCAGCCATTGCTGATGTCATTCTGATAGGGGCGGTCCCCCGGATGGCAATGGGTTCCTGTAGGCTGTTTGGGGTGAAGTCGGGGGTGGGAGGACTAGTAGGACCAAAGCCAAAATGTGTCCGTTCTGAGAAAGAAAGTTCTGAGGCTGGGGTGGGGCCCAGCAGTCCTGGAACCACACTTCCCAACAAGGCCTTCAGCAATCCCGCCTACCTTTCTCTCAGGAGGTACCCCTCTAGGAAGCTCAGGCTTGCCAGCTCCAGGCAGGGAGGCTGAGAACTGGCTTTCAGCCTGGGGAGGAGTTTGGAGGATTTGGGAGGGAGAGGCTTGTGGGGTTGGTGGTGGCGAGAGAAGACGACAGGAGGAAGGAGAGTGTGAAGGGAGGCAAGGGGCTGTGGTGGGCAGAGGGGAGAAGAAGGTGGCCTCGGGTGAGGGGATACTCAGAGACTACTGAGCTGCCGGGGACAGAACATAACCTCCTCTGTTTGGCTCAGCCAGGTCTCCTTTTATCACTTTAATGCTCATATCTGGTCCCAAGGGATATGGCATGCAAACCTGGTGGCAGGACAGGACCTCTCTTGAGTAGCGGCTGTGGGCTCGTAACCAGCCCCTAGTAAAGAGACTCATGCAGGAGTGAGGGGCTGTGTCTGTATGGGGAGAGGACGCAGGAGAGAGTCAACTCCCAGAGCAGCCTGAACACAAGGGCTAGAAAGAAACACGCACAGAAAGGAGAGAGCAGCAGAGACGGAAAGGCAATGACAAGAGACCACTTATAGGTAGACAGAAACGAAACGGTGAGAACTGCCAGCTCTGCAGATGACACAGAGCTGGCAGGTCCTAGGAATTCCTTCCAAATGAAAAAAATGCCAGAATCCTGGGAGCCAGGAGCAGAAAACCCTAGTGTCATTGACCTGTGGGGTGAGGCATGAAGGCCAGCTCAGGGTTGAGGGTGAGGTGGTCAAGCGCTTGGGTGAGAAACCCAGAGTGGGCCTTTGGCCCAAAGATGAGATTCTGCTTACCCCAAAAGGTCTTGAAAACCGGGCTGAGGGCTCAGTCCTCAAGCTCTCACCAACCTCAAACTCTAGCCAGCCTTCAAAGTGCTACAGCTTGTGACCAAAGAGACCAGGAAGCAAAGCCCACTATTCACTGGGGAAATGCCTCTGCCCCAGGCCTGAAATAGGGTAAACACTCAGGGGTGAACAGAGAAGGTAGGAAGGTAAGCATGGCCAAGAAAGGGAAGTGTGCCCCAGGGACCCCTGGGGGGCTGCCCTCAGAGCTGCAGAGGGCTGGGCTCGGGAGACCATGGCCAGCACCAGCTACAGTGAATCATAAAGACATTCTTGCTGTCAGACGGAACTCACTGAGGACACCCAAGAAAGGAAACGGATGCATGCGGGGTGAAGAACCTCGCGGCCTAGGGCTGGGCTTCCTGGGCTAGGCTCATCTCTAGTTGGCCCAGGGTGCACCTGGCATTCCCTGGGGCTGGGGGAGCCAGGACAGGGAGGTTGGGCCTCAGGCATACATCAGCCCTGAGCACTGATTCCTTAGACTTCCCAGGCCAGAGTCAGTGGAGCCCTTCTCAGGGGCTGAGGATGGGTAGGATGAGGTAGGGCAGTGGGGATGGAAGATCCCAAGGCGGAGGCAAAGCTGTACCTTTGCTGGCGGGCATGAAGTCCTTAGCCTTGTCTTTGCAGTAGTGGAGGCAGCAGGACAGGATGAGATCATCGTTGTTACCCTGGAGGAAGACGTGTGTGAGAAGCACCACTGGGCAGAAGGGGGCGCCATGTGGAGGAGGAGGAGGGATCCTCTGCCTCGGGGGCCCTGGGCAGGGCCACCTCCCCGATCCCTCCCATGCATGCGCTGGCCCTGCCTGGCCTGATCTGACTGTGCTACGAGTGACTTAGGGGAGAAGGAACTCCCCCACCTGGGCCTCCATGGTGGCTGGCCCTCAGCTGCCCAGGCTGATGGGCCTCCTTCAGCCCTTCCTTCCTGGAGACCTTGTTCTGGAAGCTGGCTGTGGGCTTTCCCTTCCTGCCACAGGGTCTCACCAGCTGGCCAGTGATGTCCTCACTGCGGAAGGCGATGGATTCGAGTTCATTGCCACGGCTGGTCAGGGCTCGCAGGCAAGAGTCCCGACTCTCGAATCGCTGCTCGAGGAACTCGATGGACTTGCGGGCCTTCTCTTGTACCACACGGGCGTAGCCCCCAGCCCGGTGGTCTGTCTCCTGCCCCTTGGCCAGGCCGTCCAGCTCATTGATCACTGATGAGATAGAGCCCCACAAGGTATCAGCCTCAGCAATCAGCTTTCATCCTAGGCCTCTGTCCATTCACTTTCCCAGCCAACACCTTCCCAGACCAGAATCCATCCTTCCCCCACAGGAGTCTTCCAATGAAACTAGGGCCGGAGGGGAGCTTGTGGGGGCAAGAAGTGTCTCGAGATTTCACAGGGCTCTACTCCCTTTCTGTCTCTTCTCCTGGGCCCTGCCCTCCTCTTGGGAGGAACTTAAAGGAATCTTCTGGAGCTGCTGTATTTAGAGGAAGAAATCTGGTCCCTCTATTGCATTCCTTGGTTACAGGACTCACGTGAAAGGGTCCCTCAGGAGAGTCCAGGGTATGCAGCAGCTCGAGGGAAAGGGAGGCGTCCTTCCTTAACTCCTTGGGCCCACACACACTGCAGTCCAGGAGGGGTAAAGTTCTACCCCCAGCCCCACTGGTGGAGTGCAGGGAGGTCACCATGGAGGAAGGGGCAGTCACAGCCTCATTTGCAAGGCCCTGGTATTTCTCAAGACCAGAACCTTGGCACATCTACCTTCTCTGATACTGCACGTGTGTGTGTGCGCGCACGTGTATGTCTGTGTGCGTGTATGTGTCTGTGTGCGTGTGTACATGTATGTGTGTGTGTACATGTGTGTATGTGTATGCGTGTATGTGTGTACATGTGTGTATATGTCTCTGTGTGTGTGTGTGTGTGTGCCTGTCTGCCTCCCTATGTGTCTGGGACATGGCTTCATTTTCTGGTGAAGATTCTTTCCAAAATTCCAGCCAAAAGCCTGAGGTCAAGTGGGAAATATGTGCTCCTCGGGGGCTCTGGGAGAGTTTGGGGTCTGAGGCCTCTCCTTAGCGCAGTGATTCATGGCTCAGGGAGCCGGCGTGAGCATGCTGTTCCATGGTGAGCCTGGCACTCATTGTCTGGGTATTCGGAGACACTTTCTGGAAAGGGCCCATGTGGGAATACACACACACACACACACACACACACACACACACACACACACAATGCCCATGCTTTCGGCACCCTGAGGCTGCAGTGTCCACACAGTGCATGGCTGAGGTTGGGAAGCAGTGGTAGATGGGTGTATGGTACAGCAAACAACATCAAACAGGAAAAACGGGTATTCTATCCCAAAATCTGCTTTCCTGCTTCCAAACTAAACAGGCTTCAAAGAGGAAGCTTGTTTGTGCTTCTGCACCAGGCGGGGCTTCTCCACGCTGGGGTCAGGTCTGCGGAGCACAGAGCAGGTTAAAGAGCACCAGAAACAAGAAGGGAAAGCTGGCGGCTTAACCCTTTGCTGCTCTGGGCACAGGACGTGAGTCTACCAAGGAAAGCATCAGTAAACAGGAGCCCTCCTCTTACAGCCTCTGGGAGAGTCCAGGAGCCTGCCCAGCTGAGGCAGGTCCAGAGAGGCTGGCCTGTATGGCTGTAGCACAACTGTCAGTTCCCAGCACCCTTAGGCGTCGTCTCTTTGTCCTGCATGTATCTGCTGGGTTTTCTCATGCGTTTGCTCCCTCCCCACCGAATCCGGATTTCCTTACTAAACCCTAAGCTCCTCAGGGCCAAGGGCTACAGCCTGCCTTTCACCGGATCAAGAACAAGGAGACTCAGCCCACAGCCTGGGGTACGATCAGTCCTGGTGACAAAAAACCCTGGCAGCCTGGGACGGCGTCTGAGGCACCTTACGGCTCTTAGGGGGCTCCTGAGATGTCCACAGCCTCTTTCAGTTGTACCCTTTCCTGACCATCTAGCAAAACACTTTCTTTCCCCTGAAAAGCTCCTGGGTAGGAAAGCAGAGAGACATATGACCCGGCAAGGCAGCCCGCCCCAGCGAGGAGAAGGGAAAGCCTGGGACAACGTGATGGTTCTGCTGCCCTGCCTTGGTGACAGAAACTGTTCTACTGTTGAAGAGCAGAAAGCCTTCCCTTAGGTCTAAGGGCCTGGATTTAAGAGGTTCTGGCCAGGCCACATGGGGAGGGGAAGGAAGACGGGGAGGGTGGAGGCAGGGAGGAGGGCTGCTTCGGTGCCAACATTCTCAGGTGGTGCTAACGTGTTTCCCACAACCCCCCAGGGTTCTGCAGCCTCTGCAGGGGCGGATGTTTCCTGCCCTTTGTTTCCACCCCCATCTGGCACTAAGACACTTGGGACTGGGAGGGAAGGCCCAATGGAACATCTTGGCATGGATGTCAAAGGTGGCTTGGCAGGCAGACTGCCAGTCTGGTGGCTTTTCCAGAAGACAAGGCTCTCAAACTTGCTCCAAGTAGCTGCTGAGAAGGGGATGTGCAAACGCCTGGGCCTCCCAATCATCTCCTAGACTCTCTCCCTCCACAGAGGCCATCAGCTAGATATGAGCCCAGAGCCCAGAGCCCACCCTGAGGCTGACCCACCACAGAGCTCCAAGAACTAAGGGTACCCAGACGGTCCCGTGGAGACGGCCCAGCTGGGCCTCTCTGGCTAGAGGGTGGGAAAGCAAGCTAGCTGGGTCCTGAGATGCTGACCCTGCACCAGCACCAAGGCCCAGACAGTGGTAAGGGCCCAAGTGGTAGGAATCCACAGGCATGAGCCAAGGGCTTGCTCTGGAGGGTTCCTGCTGGCCTAGCCTTAGGGTGACACTGGCCAGAAGAATGCTACCTCGAACCAACAGAGTGATCATGAAAAGCTACAAGACAATCAGACCAAAGGCATCTAACCACTTCAAAATCCTCCCAGCCTCCCTGCCAGACCACCCAGCAGCACTGCCGTTATCTGCCAGGGCTGAGTGTTTACCAATAACGGGAACCAGCTTTGCTGTTTTACTGCAAGCTTTATAAGGATAAAAACAAGGGCTGGGCTCATGCAGCCTCTGGTTGCTGGGACACAGGAGTCCATTTGCTCAAGCAGTTTAAGCCATGGATCAGCCATGAGAATGTGAACTACTTTGATTATTAAACAGTTTTCTTTGCCCCACGCGTTCCCTACTCCCCTGCAAATCCCATCTTACACACGCACAGCAGGGCTCTGCCTGCCTGGCCCCCAGGCCGTGGGGCGTGTGTGGAGGGGGCTGCTGTGCACATGCAAGGCCGCTCTGCCCTTCCCGCCTGACTCACCGATGAGGGGCACCACCAGGATGTACTTCCTGCTCTCCAGCAGCCGCGCCAGACTGGCCAGGTGGTCAATGAAGCCGTTGGTGTCTGGTACGAGGAACAAAGGTCTGATTTCGAGCTCCATCTGCCTCATCTGACTGTGGTCCTCCAGGACAGCCTATGGGGACAGAGTGGTGAATGAGCCAGACAGCGAGCAGGCAAGCAGGTGGGTGAGCCAGGGCCCTGACACTACGGTGTGTCAGCATCCTGCCCCTAGGAACCTCTTCCCCTCCACAGTAATAACCAGTCCCCGTCGGGTCTCAGGGATAGGCCCAAGGGCTGAGCATAGCACTGCAATAAAAACAGAGCTCAAGGGGCCCAGGGAATGGCATGGGTACAACCCTGCCGAGGGCTGAGAAAGGATCCTGAGGATATTCAACATAACAGGTCTCTCAAAGTAAGACTGGGACTCAAATTCAACAAGGGAGAATTAGGTTCCTTAGATATGAAAGTGGTTTCACATACATTATCTAGAAAGCCTACAGAGGAGGTACTTTTCAATCTAGACATGAAAATGCAAACAGAATCTGTTATTTTGACTTACTTCACTGTGTAGCTAAAACAAAACAAAACAAAATAAAATATACCCTGGGCAACATGCTGAAACCCCGTCTCTACAAAAAAAAAAAAAAATTAGCTGGGTGTGGTGGCACACGCCTGTGGTCCCAGCTACTTGGGAGGCTGACATGGGAGGATTGCCTGAGCTCTGGAGGCGGAGGCTGCAGCGAGCCGAGATCACACCACTGCACTCCACCCTGGGTGACAGAACGAGACCCTGTCTCAAAAAACAAAAACAACAACAACAAACAACGAACAATGAAGTTGAACTCAAAGGCTATACAAAAAAGTGATACTGACAGCTAATAATACGAAATTCTCCTGCAGCAGCAGCCGAAGTCCGTGCAATGTGATGAATTAAGACTCAACTCATGTGTCTGCAAAGAGCAACACCCAGGTCGATCACAATGGCCCACCACCTTGCCCTTGACCAGCGCAGTTTCCTAAACACGGGTCTTTTCTGTTCTACCTCTGCTCCTTTGCCACGAATCTGTACCAGCTACACTATTATTTACTCGACGTTTTTCTTTAAACTGACTTTGTCACTTTTTTTCTTAGCCTCTTCTTCAGCAACCATATCGTGGTACTAAGCAATTGACAGCCTAGTCATATGCTTACTAGTGCAAGCTAAACTGCCAAACAAAAAGTAGACAAAAGAATAAAAGCAGAAGAGTCTCCTTGGCCCCACTGTCCCACCGCCTCCTCTAGCACCTCTCACCAAGCACGTGGCCCAGCGCTTGCCTTCCCTGTGGACTTTCACATTTCTCAGGGAAGTTCCCGAGAGATGCACATTTGCAAAAGCCTGATTTTCTTCTCTGACAGCCTTACACGTGTGGCAGCGGCCCTTCGAGACCGGCTCTGGGTATGTCTGCCACTACAGAACATGGCCACTACTGCACTGCTTCCTCTTCTGGGGACCATGGCCAAGAATCGAACTGATCTGCTGGCATCTGCCCAGACAGCATGCTCCCTGAGTAGGGAGGTGGAGGGCACCCACACAAACCTGGCGGGGCCAGGAGGGCAGGTCCCAGCCCTGTCACACCCTCTCATGGCCTTCTGCCACAGAGCAACTTGCAGAGACCCAGATGCAGGCACAGGGCTGGGGAAGTGGACGTGCGTGCCAACCGAGATGGGGCCCACAGTGCTGGTCCTGGCCACCAACAGTCAGTGAGGAGGCTGCTCAGGTTTCACTGACAATGACAGTAAAACTGAAAGGGCATGCCTTCAAATGATGGGGGTGGCTTCTCTGTGACCTGCCAGGGACCTCTCCCTATGAGTAAGTTGTTGCTGCCACTGCCACCACAGCTGGTAAAGGCACAGGCTACAGAACGCTGGCAGGCATGAGAAATGCAGCTCAGGGGCCCGCTCTGCTGAAGTCTTCCTACTGATCTCACCTCATGAGAGCAAGGTGCCACTACTGCGGGCTACCTTCCCATGGGAGGCGGGGTCACTGACCCTCTACATAGGGCTGCCACCTAGAGGGTGACAGGCATTCCAACAAACCTGGCTTGGGCAGTTTGTAAGAACAGGAAATGGTCCCTGCTCAGGTTCAGTAAACCCCTCTGCCCTTTCTCCTCTTGCGGAGGAGCATCAGCACTCTCGTTCCTCATTTCTCAGGCCATGCGCTCTCCGTCTAGCTCTTCTGTTGCCAGGCATGCTCTCCTGGTACCGTGGCTCTCAAATCTGTCTTTCTGGGTGAGCAGGGACAGAACAAGCATGGCTTAGGGAGACGTGGGAGCAGTGGCAGCTGGAGTGACAGGGGCTGGGGGTCCGGCTCTGCACTGCGCCTCTGCCTCTGCCTCTGCCCCGCAAGTCCACTACCATCTCAGTTCTCCTGCCTTGAGAAACAACCGTCCAGCCTGGTCTGACTCTATCAAGGAAGTGGCTGCCATTTTTTTTTTTACCCTATGTGAACAGTCAGCTCCTAAGCCCTGGTACCATCCTACCTCTATTGCTGGCAATTAGGCAGGAGAGCCTTGAAGCCAGGTGGCTGAGGGATGCTGGGGACAAACTGAGCCTACCTGTGTGTTCTGATGGCAGGACAGAAGAAAAATCTAGAAGCGAGGTCCAGAGACGCTCTAAATTCCCCGGGTTCTTAGCTCTGGCTTGCAGCTAGAAAGGTGAATAGGCCGCAGCCTTTCAGAGGGGGCTTCCCTGGGTGTGGGGTGGGGCCAAGCCCCGTGAGGGTGGTCAGAGCTGTGCTGCCATCATCCGGTCCCAGGGACGCCCGCAGACAACTTCCCTTAACCTGGCTCTGCCCAGTGAGTCACCAAACAACTGCTTCCTGTTCCCCGCATGCCCTCATGGAGTCTCAGGAGATGAGATGAAGCTGCTCCCTTTTCTCCTGGGGTACCGGTGGGCCTCTGGGCGGGGGGGGTCACACCTGGGTCACAAGACTGGCTCAGTCCCCTTAAAAAGAGTGGCAGGCGGAGGAGGGCTTCGGAGTCCACAGGCACCCTTCTACGGGTGTCTGCATTTCCGGCCCTTTCTGAGTGGCGCTGTGTGTGTGTGTGTGTTTAGCATCTGCCCTCCCAACTTTTCCAGATTTTACCCGTCAGATTCCTGGCAGCTGTGCACGGCGCCTGTGCCGGCCGTCACGTCCCATTCCGATCTCTGGGTCGCACGGTAAGAGGAGGACACAGGATGCGCAGGGAGTGAAAAAGTGATGTCGGTGGGGAGAGTGCCAAGTCCCCACTCGCAGCCATGGGACACTTGGGGAGCAGGGGAAGCATGCCGCTGCAGAGTTCAGAGGCCGGTAGTGAGGTTTATTTTTGTTTGTATGAGTAAAAAGCTGCAGAAGCCTCTGGTGGGGGTGAGGGGGGTGCAACCGGAATGCTGTGGTTCAGACAGACTGGCCCTGGCATGGAGTCAAGCGTGCTGACCCGGAAGGAGAGTTCCACAGGAACCTTCTAACAGCAGCTGAGGTTGGGCCACAGTGATCCCTGGATAGTGCCCTTGGAACCCAAGCAACACACGGACACTCTGAATCAGGTTGGTAGCAATAAGGACCCAAGTTGGCATAAAATGTGGAAGAAAAAAATAATTCTGTTTCTGGAAGGTGCTAAGTAACTAACTTTCTCTAAGGTATGGGAGTTTCCTGGAGCAAGCTGGCAGAGAACTGGGAAAGAGATCATATACAATAATACCTAAGGAGGAAGCTAACAGGCTTGGGTCTCCAGGAAAAACTTTTGCAGGTTAAGTTCCTTCTCTACGGTGGAGATGATCTTATGATGCTTACCGCTGCAAGCTGAGACACTGAACATTACAAGTAACAGCAATTCAATGAGCTGACACAGGAGGTGTGGCACTTGGAGAACCTGGATCATGAAGCAGAGCAAGACCAGGAGAGGGCCTTCTGAGGTCTTCCTTCTGCTTAGGGGCTCCCATAGGGAGTGCGGCTGCTTCCTTCCCTCTACAGGGTGAAGAATCATTCATCCCTGAGCCTCTCTGGCCAGAGCAATGTCTTCAACAGAAATTAGAAGCTTTGTAACACAGGAAATTTCCACATTCACCTTATATATGAAAGTACCTAGCAAAGTGCCTGACACATATTAGTAACTCAATAAATGCCAGCTTCCTTTCTTCCTTCCTAACTCTATTTTTTATTTTCTACATATCCAGAGCATAAATATCAGGGGGAAACCACCAGGAAATAGAACTGGGGATGAGGAGGGGTGGAGCAGAGGACTACTGATGTGTTTTTTTTGTTTTGTTTTGTTTTGTTTTGTTTGAGACGGAGTCTTGCTCTGATGCCTATGCTGGAGTGTAGTGGCGTGATCTCGGCTCACTGCAATCTCTGCCTCTCAGATTCAAGCGATTCTCCTGCCTCAGCCTCCCAAGTAGCTGGGATTACAAGCGTGAGCCAACACGCCCGGCTAATTTTTGTATTTTTAGTAGAGATGGGGTTTCACCATGTTGGCCACACTGGTCTCAAACTCCCGACCTCAGGTGATCCGCCCGCCTCGGTCCCCCAAAGTGCTGGGATTACAGGCGTAAGCCACTGTGCCCAGCGTTTTTTTGTTTTGTTTTGTTTTGTTTTAAAGAGACACGAGTCTCAGACCAGGCACGGTGGCTCACGCCTATAATCCCAGCACTTTGGGAGGCCAAGGCGGGTGGATCATGAGGTCAGGAGTTCGAGACCAGCCTGGCCAACATCGCGGAACCCCGTCTCTACTAAAAATACAAAAATTAGCTGGACGTGGTGGCTCATGCCTGTAATCCCAGCTACTCGGGAGGCTGAGGCAGGAGAATTGCTTGAACCCAGGCAGCAGAGGTTGCTGTGAGCCGAGATGGTGCCACTGCACTCCAGCCTGGGCAACAGAGCGAGACTCCGTCTCAAAAAAAAAAAAAAAAAAAAAGAGACAGAGTCTCATCCAAGCCTGACCAACATGGTGAAACCCCATCTCTACTAAAAATATAAAAATTAGCCAGGCGTGGTGGCACGTGCTTGTAATCCCAGCACTTTGGGAGGCAGAGGTAGGCGGATCACTTGAGGTCAGGAGTTTGAGACCAGCATGGACAATATAGTAAAACCCCATCTCTACTAAAACTACAAAAATCAGCCGGGGATGGTGGCACATGCCTGTAGTCCCAGCTACTCGGGAGGCTGAGGCAGGAGAATCGCTTAAACCCGGGAGGCAGCGGTTACAGTGAGCCGAGACCATGCCACTGCACTCCATCCAGCCTGGGTGATAAGAGCAAAACTCCATCTCAAAAAAAGAGAGAGAGAGAGTCTAACTCTGTCACTCAGGCTGGAGTGCAGTGGTGCGATCACAGGTCACTGTAGCCTGAAACTCCCAGGCTCAAGTGATCCTCCCGCCTCAGCCTCCTGAGTAGCTGGGACTACAGGTGTGTGCCACCATGCCCGCGCTTCTGATTTCTATGAAAAGACTTATTGTATATATGTATCTTAACTATGTGGATGTACATGAAAAACTGGAAATAAAATAAAAATAGGAACAGTGGGTGAGATAAGCACTGGCTAACTGTTCATCCTGGGCCAGCAGAAGCCAACGAGGGCAGATACTGAGGGTGCTAGAAAAGGCAGGCAGAGCCACCAGCAGCATCCCCTGGGAGCAGGAGGAGGAGCATCTTCATTTGGGGTACACTGCAAATGAAAAACTGCTGCTTAGAACTCCTTTTCTGGATGTCCAAATGTACCACAGAGCTTAATATATTCTTGCACTCTTTTTAAAAGTGATAACTATGGCAATTTGTTTGCTATTTCTTACTGTTTTAGGAGGACTCATCTTATTTTCAAACTAGACTGTCAAGTGCTCAAGGAGAACTGCCTACTTTTCTTGCAGTTTCCATTGTCATACCTCCCATACCGCCTGTTGTATCATAGGACTTCGGGGGACAGTGGGCTCAGTCACTGGCTCTCAGAGCTGAAGGGCACTTAAAGATAATCGGATTGAATTTTAACTGATAACTTGATCTAAAAAGCCAAAGAAGCAGGCAGGCCCTTTCCTGATGGAGAGGGAGGGGCAGGGCTAAGCATGACACCTTTGAGCTTGCTCTGAGCAGCAGCCTGAGGGCGTTTCAGACAGTGGCCTGGCCACTCTGTGGGAAGCCAGGCCCCCAGTGGATGGTGCTGGAGCAAAAGCTGGGGCCCAGCACTCAGGTTTTGGGGAGGCTGGAGCGGGTCTGGGTGGGAAGGGCGGATGCCCGCTCCACAGGCTGATGTGCTTTCCTGCCTTGACGTGAACGTGCCCCCGGCCTGGTGCTGTGCTGGCTCCCACCCTGTCTCCGACAGCCAGGAGCCAGGCCTGAGTGTCTGCCTTCCGCCAGCTTCCATACAGGTGTGGGGGGCTCTGTGTATACCCCATTGTTCCACAACAGCCCCCCCTAGCTGGGTGGCAGTATGAATGGACGGCAGCTAAATTTAGAGTGGAACTCCTGGGGCCACCACAAAGGAGGGACTACATCTTCAGGAGGGCGGGTGGGCGGGAAAGGGACAGGGGAGAGAAGCTATTTTGAGAACACATGTCATTGCTGGCCACAGAGCAAGACTGTGGCCATAATGCTGAGGGAAACAATAGATGTGGCCAGAGGAAGAGCCTGTTATGTTTCAGGTGGGATGTTTGCAACTGCTCAGGAAACCTGACCCCGCCCGACAGCAGCACAAATCACAGCAAAGCCTCAGAGAGGCAGTGAGGAAGCGGGGGATTCACAGGGCCAGGGCCAGCATGAGGTGCCAAGAGGCCACGCCTCATGCCTGGAGGAGCATTTTCAGTGACTGCTTTGCCCTGGTGGTTTGGTTAGGAATCAAACACTTCTGACCAACTTCCCAAACCATGTACCCTGCCCTGGTCTCTGAACAACTCCAAATGGCAATGGGAACAAAAAGAACTCAGGAGAAAAGCAGCAAGGTGGGCAGAACCCACAGGAGGAGCTGTCTCAGGCAACAAGACAGAGCGTGGGCTGAGCCGGAGAGTGTGGCCTCAAAGCCCTGGGTGGGCGGACTTGGCGCCCCCAGCATCCAGGGGCCTGCCTGGGCGCTGCAGCTCCAGCTGCACAGGCTCTGAGAGCTCCCCACACCCCTTTTCTGACCTCCAGTCGGCCCCACTCACCAGCCTCTGTGCAACGCCGGAAGCAGGGAGGGACAGGCTGCAGAGGGAGACCAGGCCTCACCTCCCCCATGCTCACAGAAGAGCTTAGGCGGCCCAGGGGTCTAGGTAAGAGCAGGGAAGTGGGGGTGTGGTTACAGCCCCAGATCTCACTTGGACTTTATAGCTATCCTGGGGGCCAGGAGGATTTTTTTCAACCCCATCTTCACATCCCCTTCCCCAAACATGCGTGGTTCCTGTTTTGCCACATCTGTGAGAGGCGCTGGGAACGGGGACTTGCCTTACACCTCTCGGTTAACACCCTGGAGACTGATGGAGTTCAGAGCAGGGTAATTTACAGCCCATCCCTCCAATCTTAATTCACTCGATGCTCCTTTCTTCCTTATTGTATTAGTGTGACCCAGGTACCTGCCAACAATAATGGCCTCTCCAGCTAGGAGCCTCTCCCCAACTCCCAGGACAATTTATACCTTTTCCTTGGATTTTCCCCCCTTAAATTAAACAAAAAGAGGAAAAATGAGAAAAGGTTAGCATGGGTTTGGAGCACTGAAGCCCCCGTGGTTCTGGGCAGGAAGCCAATGGCCTGAGGGCACACATGTGTGTGCTCTCCCAGAAGGGCCTTCACCGGCCCTGTTTTACAGCCACCTCGGCACAGACTCCAGGGTTCACGCATATGGCCAGACAGATGTGTCTGGCTTACGTTCAAGGCTGGAAAATGAAGAATTATGGAAGTGAAGGGCCCCGGGCATTAAAGCGGGGTGGGGAAGGGAAGGGGGGAATTTTTCCTCTGCTGAGAAATCCTCTTGTGGCTGTGAGGCTGGAGGAAGGAGGCTGACAGGAGGCAGGGCCGCCAGCTTGGTGCATGTGGGGCCTGTTCTTAAAGGGGCCACAGCAACCCCAACTCCAGCTGGCCCGCAGCAGGCCTTCCATGCTTGGGCCTAAGCAGCTTCCTCAGAAGGAGCTGATCAGGAGAACAGGCAGCCTGGACAGGGCCCACCAGGCGCACGGGAAGTCAAGCGTTGGAGGAGACCTCCAATTCTGAAGGTGCTGCTGGTCGCTGGAGAGGCAAAGCTAAACACCAAGCTCCAGAAGCGGATGGATCCTGGCAGCATGTGCTCCCTCGGCATCCTGGACTTGCGTTTTGTACGGACGCTCATTCACACTTCAAATCACTTGTCAAGGACTCTACCACACTGTACCACTGTACACTCTGGAATGTGATTAGTTCTGTGTCCCCCAGACACTGGCACAGTAAATGCTCAATGCCGCTTGCTAAACTGAGCTGAAGACATGCCTCCCGATTCCAAGGAGTGCACAGACAATGTGGGAAACAAGTCCAGAAATAACTGGAACATGAGACATGATGGCAGGTCCACAAATGAAGCCTGAAGAGTGTCACAGGAACGCTAAGCAGAGGCAGACGGATTCCTCCTGGGGGAGACCAGGGGGGGCTTCACTGGGGAAGTGGAGTTTCATCTGGGGATTGAAGGAGGAATAGAATTTCGACAGGTAACAAGACATATGGAGCAGAAAAAGGGCACTCTGCTTTGAGGGACAGCATGAACAAAAACCCGAGTGGAAAAAGGCAGAGCATGCCTAGGGAGTGGAAAGGAAGGTGGGTGTCACTGTCCAGGCAGGAGGGCCTTAGTGTCTGCACAGGCATTTTACGTGCACTGTGGTTCATTCCGAGGCCTCACAGCAGCTCTAATATTGGTGCTTTTACCACTTTCACTAAAAAAGTGTTTAAGAGACGGGGTTTTGCTATGTTGCAGTGGTTATTCACGGGCATGATCACTGCACACCATAGCCTTGTACTCCTGGGCTCAAGCTATCATCCAGCCTCAGCCTCCTGAGTAGTTGGAACCATAGGCACGTGCCCACTGTGTCTGGCATTACTTTCATTATAAAGATGAGGAAACAGGCTCAGAAAAGTTAAATAATCTGCCCAATGTCATATAACTAGTAAGGGTTCATGAGGGATGGGGTAGTGGGAGAAGAGGCTGGAAAAACAGACTGGGAACAGATCAAAAAGCCTTAAATGCCAATAATAGGGAATTAAGACTTTTTTTTACTAGCCAAGCAAAGGCCTGATGATTTCTGAGCAGGGGAGTGGCTCTTTCAGGAAGAGAATGATGGAGGCAGTGCAGTGAATAGGAGCCTGGTGGGCAGGAGCCTGGTATGCTACAAACTCCAGGAGGTGCCACTTACAGAAACAAGGCAAATGGCACCTTCTGGGGCTGTGCAATGCAGGGGCCTTGACTGCTACACTCTAAGCAACTACTTGACCTAGAATAGTAGTAGTGGCAATGGAAACAGAGAGGAGAAGAGGGAATAAATGTGTGAATAAATAGTATTTAATATGAAATTAGATACTAGGGGTTAAAAGCCAGAGTGGAATTTAAGATGATGCTCTAGTTGCTACTATTATTGTCACTGAATACTTTTTTTTTTTTTTTGAGACAGAGTCTCGCCCAGGGCTAAAGTCTAATGGCTCGATCTCGGCTCACTGCAACCTCCACCTTCTGGGTTGAAGTGATTCTCCTGCCTCAGCCTCCTGAGTAGCTGGGATTACAGGCACCCGCCACAACACTCAGCTAGTTTTTGTATTTTTAGTAGAGATGAGGTTTCATCATGTTGGCCAGGCTGGTCTTGAACTCCTGACCTCAAGTGATCTGCCAGCCTCGGCTGCCCAAAGTGCTGGGATTACAGGCATAAGCCACTGCGCCCAGCCACTGAATACATATCTGCTGAGCACTAACTCAGCTTGCTGAGACTAAGGAGTAAAAGGAAGGATGGAGGAGACCAAAAAAAGAATGGTGGTGAGGAAGCCCAGGAGGGTGGTCTGGCGAACAGGGAGAAGACAAGGGGTCATTCATCGATGCTGAAGGGAAGCTGAAGGAAGGTGGCTTTAGGGCCCAAAGACAAAGGGAGGTCAACTATGACACAGACTGAAATTTGATAAAGATAGGTCATTGGTGATTGGTCAACTATGACACAGACTAAGGTTTGATGAAGATAGGTCATCGGTGATTTTTCTTTTTAAGATGGAGTCTTGCTCTGTTGCCCAGGCTGGGGTGCAGTGGCGCAATCTTGGCTCACTGTAACCTCCGCCTCCTGGGTTCAAGAGATTCTCCTGCCTCAGCCTCCCGAGTAGCTGGGACTACAGGCACCCGCCACCACACCCGGCTCACTTTTGTATTTTTAGTAGAGACAGGGTTTCACCATGTTGGCCAGGCTGGTCTCGAACTCCTGATCTCAAATGATCCACCCACCGTGGCCTCCCAAAGTGTTGGCATTATAGGCGTGAGCCACCGTGCCTGGCCATATTGGTGACTTTTGACGCAACAGTTTCCATAACTGCTGGGTTGAGAGTCAAGAAATAACGGTAGAAACAGAATTTCTGGGAAAACAGATGGTAAGGAAGAGCAAGAAAAGAAGCATAAGGGCACTTCGGGAGGCCGTGGCGGGCAGATCACGAAGTCAAGAGATTGAGACCATCCTGGCTAACATGGTGAAACCTGGTCTCTACGAAAAATACAAAAAAAATTAGCTGGGCGTGGTGGTGCATGCCTGTAATCCCAGCTACTTGGGAGGCTGAGGCAGGAGAATCACTTGAACCTGGGAGGTGGAGGTTGCAGTGAGCTGAGATCACGACAGCGAGACTCCATCTCAAAAAAAAAAAAGTAAAAGAAGCATGAGGATAAAGCTGTTTTGAGGATCATGCACAAGTTTACATGTAGACCCACAGCAGGGCTGGGGAGGCAGCCACATGACAATGGATGATGCTGGTAGAGGTATTACACACTGATTCCAATGGTAGCAGGGACGTGAATCTGTCTAAAGAATGATGGAGGCTGGGCGCAGTGGCTCACGCCTGTAATCCCAGCACTTTGGGAGGCCAAGGCGGGCAGATCACCTGAGGTCAGGAGTTTGAGACCAGCCTGGCCAACATGGTGAAACCCCATTTCTACTAAAAATACAGAAATTAGCTGGGTATGGTGGCAGGCGCCTGTAATCCCAGCTACTTGGGAGGCTGAGACAGGAGAATCGTTTCAACCCGGGAGGCAGAGGTTGCAGTGAGCTGAGATTGCGCCACTACACTCCAGCCTGGGCAACAGGGCAAGACTCCATCTCAAAACAAAACAAAACAAAACAAAACAAAACAAAACAAAACAAAACAAAAGAATGATGGATCTTGGCCAGTGTGACGGCTCATGCCTGTAATCCCAGCACTTTGGAAGGCAGAGGCGGGCAGATCACCTGAGGTCAGGAGTTCAAGACTGGCCTGGCACACACAGCAAAACCCTGTCTTTACTAAAAATACAAAATTAGCTGGGCATGGTGGCAGGCATCTGTAATTCCAGCTACTCTGGAGGCTGAGGCAAGAGAATCGCTGGAACCCGGGAGGTGGAGGTTGGAGTGAGCTGAGATCATGCCACTGGACTCCAGCCTGGGCAACACAGCGAGACTCTGTCTCAAAACAAAAACAAAAACAAACAAACAAAAAAAAGATGGCTCTCGATTGGTATTTATTCCTCTTCCCTGGCCAGGGTGATTAGACAAATATCAGACAAAGGTGGCCGTTCATGGAGCACATACTAAGTGCCATGCACTATGCTAAGTGCTTTACATACACTGTCTCGTGTAGGCCTCACAGTGACTCTGAGAGATAGGTGCTATTAGCACTTTTTTCTTTTTTCTTTTTTTTTTTTTGAGATGGAGTCTCACCCTGTAGCCCAGGCTGGAGTGCAATGGTGCAAGATTGGCTCACTGCAACCTCCGCCTCCCGGGTTCAAGCGATTCTCTTGCCTCAGCCTCCTGAGTAGCTGGGATTACAGGTGTGCACCACCATGCCCAGCTAATTTTTTGTATTTTTAGTAGAGACAGGGTTTCACCATGTTAGCCAGGATGGTCTCAATCTCCTGACCTCATGATCCGCCCGCCTCAGCCTCCCAAAGTGCTGGGATGACAGGCGTGAGCCACCGCGCCCGGCCAGCACTTTCATTTAACAGATGAGGAAACAGGCTCTGAGAAGCTGAATGATTTGCCCCATGTTACAAAGCTATTTAGGTGGCAGGGCCTAGACTGTCACTGGGTCTGCCTGATCACATGCATCAAACCCTATGCCAAAGGACAGGGTTGGAAATGGGCATCCTTAAAGAAGCGGAGTGGGTGGCTTGATGCTTCCCTATGCACACGGTTCACCTTTAAACGGGGAGCAGGACTGCCTCTTCCCTGTCTGCCCCGAGCCCTAGAGGACAGCAAACGGCCTCACAGCACAAGGGAACAGACCTAGAAGGCCAGGAAGAAACACTTGCTGGGGGTGAAGGCACAGGCCCGTGAGAGGGCTGATGGGGGTCAAAGTCCCTGTGTGGAGATTAAGTAGTTTGTCTCTGCAAGGGTGTAGGGAGTATCTTGTCCAGAGGAGTCTTCCATTTCATTGGGAATCCAGGCAAGCAGACTGTGGCCATGCCATCCTCTCCCTGGGAACAGGCGTTCTGAAGTAAGAATCCACAGCCTCTCCAGGGATATCTGGATAAGGCTCAGGGAAACTCTGAAACCCCTCACATTGTGTGAAAGATCATGTATGTGTGGTGTGCATTTGGAGATTCTCACTGGGGAAGCAGCTTTTCTCAGAGTCTCTGAGAAGACCGTACCCCTGCCTTGGAGCCCAGGATGAGGGAGACTCTAGGCACCAAACCTGCTACCAGAATTTAGTGGTAGAGTGAAAAACGGGTAGAGCTAGAGAGAACACTGCAGGACTGACTCACTCTTAGTGTCCTGCTCAGCTCTGCTCTCTGCCCACATCCTCTCATGCCCTAGACAGCAACCCCCATAGTGGGAACCACGCTCCCCAGGCCGACTTCACCTGGATCTTTTCCTGGCGACGCTGCTGCTCAGCTATCTTCCTGGCCAGAGCCAGCTTCTTGGCCCGAAGCTCCCTGATGTCATCCTCGCCTCCGCTGCCTTCAGCCTCTGAATCTTCCTCAAAGTCTTCAATCACCACATCCTCCTCCTTTGGGTGGTGGAGCCGACCAGGACAAAGAGGAGACAGTTAGCTGGGCCCATGGCTCTTACTGAACCCAACATTGCCCTTGTGGCCCCTCACCCACGCAGACTGGGACCATCCCTTGCAAAGGGTCCCCTGGTGTGTGCTTCCCTCTACTCAGGCAAAGGGAGGTTGACAAAAGCTGTCACTCTTCCCCCGGAGCTGCTCTCTTTTATACTCTGGGGCTTTTCCCTCAGAGAGTTACACCATAAGTCACTCGCAATCACACATATATACCTGCGTGCTTTACTCACACTCTGTGTTCTTCCTGGTACACACTCACAAAGTCAAACTTTAGGCCTATTTTCATTCTGAAGTCACCAATGATTCAAGAGGGAAACAACAGAGAAAGTTAAACCACCCAACTTAAATCTAATTCATGCTAACGATCTGATAGGAATCAGCTCTGGCCAACAGCTGGGAATGAGGCGTGGAAGTTCCCTTGCCGCAGACAGCATCAGGGACAGATGCTGCAGCTCAGCAGACCTCGCCCTGGTTTCTTTTGAAGACTCCAGCCTGGTGGTGTGAGGACTGCTGGGCCCCTTTACTGGAATTCACACGACATGACCTTGCTCAGCTGCCCTCAATGGCCTGGGCAGGGTAGGAGGTGGCTGGCTGGCTTAAGGAGCCTCCTGCCAGGCTGGTGGCACATTCCCCAAGGATGGCACCTCCCTACTTGCAGCCTCAGCTCTTAGCAGCCATCACTCCCTGGGTGGTCCCAGGCTCCATTCCTTGCTTTCTTACTTTTGGCCTTGGTCAACAGAGAACATGCAGCTGCCCAAGATAGCTTCCTTTGAGGGACAGGGTTAGCATGGGTACACAGGGAATAATTTAGTAGAAGGTTCCTGTTTCTAACTGGATTATAATAATGACAGTGATGACAACAGCTATCACTTACTGAGTGCTTATTACTGGCCAGGTACCGGGCTACCCATTTTTCATGTATTAACTCAGTTAATCCTCACAACAGCCTGTGAGATAAGATAGGTGCTATCACCATCCCTATCTTATAAATGAACAAACTGAGGTTTAGAAGTCAACACCTCGCTCAGGGTCACATGGCTAGTAAAGGCAGAACAGGGATTGAAGCCCAAGTGAATCTGACTCCAAAGTTTATGCTCTTACCAATAATAATAAGCTAAGCCATCCTGAATCCAGACCAGAAGCTCAGATCCAGCCCTCAGTGGCTCAGCATCGTGAGGCCTGCTGCAGGCCCACCCTAGATCTGTTCAGTACAGACTGCTCTCTTCTCTAACTGTCCAGCTCAAGGTCATATACAGATGGAATCTCTTGACTGAAAGGGATTACTCAGGTGGGTGGCTGGGTAGATGACGGGGGTATACTTTGCCTTGTGAGCAGAATCTAGGGGTGTTTTGGTAGGATCCCTAAGCGACTAAACTGTGTTCTATTCACAAAGAACTATGTCTGAAGAAACACCTTTCCCTACCTCTCCCAATCTGCTGAAGTGATTCAGTTTTGCAGTTTGGGGAGAGATGAGATCTGAGGATGGGGCCAGAACTGTCACTATCCTAAGAGATGTCAGGGGTCTGGGATGCTGTCCACAGTCACCATTCATCTGACACAGGCATGCTATAGTGTCACAGCGCTCACCTCCAGAGAGGCCCAGGCCGTGGAAAGAAGGAAAACTCTGCACATTCACTTCCTTGTTCATGAGGTTAACCCAGACTGCAGTGAGCGGGACAGAATGCCTGCCTAGCCCATGGGGGAACACTGCCTCTGCCTGCTCTGACTAGGGATATACAAGGTTATCACGGGGCTTGAAGTGAGCTTGACTGAGGTCAAAAGAGGGTCAGAGAAGCTTGTCTGAGGTTGGCTCAGCTCTCACAGTAAACGAGGAAGTGCAAGGTTATGAAATTACACAGACCAGGGTAAGCACAGTTTCCCAGAGGCCACTAACATGAAGGAACCCAGGAGACTCGTGGGAAAAGGAAGAAGTGGGCAGCCTGGTGTGGGTCACAACCTTTGTCTGGTCAATAAGCCTTAGAACGAGAAAAAAAAGTGTGGCACTACCAAGATCCGGGACCAGAGAAGTCATCTGTTCCTTGTGAGGGCAGAGAAGGCCTTCTCTGGCTTTGGTGCTGTGGCCCTCTCTGGGCCTCACTTGCCTCACTGGATTTGGGACTGCAGGCTCCCCTGGCCACAGGGCATCTTTGGGCAAGCCTGGGAGCTAACCTGGCTGTGCCCTCAGCCTGAAAGTGCGGGTGAAAGAGCTGACGGAGGCACTGCTCCACCTGTGCTTCCCCACACAGTACCCAGGGCTTGGGTGGCACTGCTCTGCCCTGCCTGAAGCCTGGATGCCCTGCCAGCTTTAGCAAGCCTGCTGTCCCCTCCCATGCTAACAGCTCATTCTTTCCCATTATTCTCTGCCCAGGTTTCATCTGGAGAGTCTGGAATCCTAGGCTCAGCTTTATCCCTGGAACCACCTCTGTCCTGGAAGCTGAGCCCTATGTCATCAGGGGTGGGGTGGGGCTCTCCAGTTATTCTAATGAAGCCAGTCCAAGACTCTGCTGCTCTCAGGACTCTGATCCAAAGGTGGCCACTCTATCACTGTTTCAGATCACAAACGACAGCTTCCAGCTGACATCTGGCTTCCTTGGCCTGTTGCTGACTTCATCCCTGTACCCCGCCCTGCTCTACCGGGCGCTTGAGACTGCTGCAGGCCAAATGACTGTGTTGGCCTATGGGTGACCTGGCCCCTGGCTAGAATCGCTTCCGTCCCTTCCCTTAGTCCCATGTTCCTTCCCACCTAAGTCTCTTGTCTTTAACACTGTGGGGTAAAAAGAAGAGTCAACCTTCAGGTAAAAGTGAGGTGTGTGTGAACACACATCCAGACAGAAATACCCACACCCAGACACACAGCAGGGCAGCTGGAAGTGATACTAAATGCATACATGCTCCAACAACATCACACTCACAACCACTCAGAACCCACAGAGAGCAGGGAAGCTGGCAGCAGTGTTTACTTAAACTGACACACAAACCCAGCACACACAGACCCACATCAACAATCACTCCCAGAAAGACACAAATAGGCAATGGCAATATATAGGGCAGGGCAACTGCCAGTGGACTATTGCAGGGGCGGGTACACAGGCTCATGCATGTGCATGCGCGTGCGCACACACACACACAGACGCGCACACACACACACAGACACACACACACGAGTCTGGAGTGAAGCAAGGGCTACAGGAACAACCAAGGGCAAACAAACAAGAGGAGAATTCCTTAATCACATCAGGATGTGCAGGAGGGAGGGAGGGAACAAGGGAGGGAGGGTAGGGCAGGGGAGGGGTGATTTTCCACACAGGGCCAGCAATGTCAGCTCTTCCTGTACGTGTGCTGGAGGCTGGAGTTCAGGCCTGTGCTGCATTGGGCTCCACACATCTATAAACTTGATCCTGACCACCCCCCTCTCCCTTTCCTAAGCCTCGAGAGCTGCACATTATTCAACTCCTTTCTTTCTTTTCCTCCCTTCTCCTCAATGCAGCATTAAAAGAAGCATCTGGAACTCGTAGTGGAGTAGGATGGAGGCACCGGGGTGGACTGGCAGGAAGGGGCACCATCAGAGCACACTCTCGAGAAGCTGGCTGGTCACATTAACACAGACGCTGTTCTCTGTGCTCATAAATAAGCAGGAGGAAAAGCTGAAGCCACGAGCAGAATGGGGAGGGGGCCTTCCCTCTGCCACAGCGGGCTCTTCCCGCATAGTACCTCATCTTCCAGTCGTGTTCCCTCTTGGCTTCCCATTTCCTTTCCCATGGTGTCTGGGACGGGTGCCACTGACACATACTTTCCACCCTTGAATGCCAGCAGAGGCTCTTCTTGTCCACAAAGGGCTTCCAGAAAATACTTCAGCACTGTGACCCTTTTGCA
The DNA here is from genome assembly GCF_000001405.40 of Homo sapiens. Lineage (NCBI taxonomy): Eukaryota > Metazoa > Chordata > Mammalia > Primates > Hominidae > Homo > Homo sapiens. The sequence goes on from NC_000017.11 coordinate 2,085,887, forward strand.
GTCAGCTGCAATAACCTACAGGGTGAGAGGGAGAGAAGAAAAACAGCATTTTCTGAAAGGGAAGATGGAGACGAGATGTTGCTTGCCGGCTGAGGGGCACAGGGGAACTGTGTCAAAGCTACCAGGCAAGGGGGTCAGAATGAATGACGGGGTGCGGAGGGCACAAGGGCATGTCAGGTGGTAAGTGAGGGCCCAGGGCAGGCTGAGGATCAAGATCTTCTGAGGTTATCTCTCCTTAGGTTATCTCTGGGGCAGCAGACAACCCCAGGGACCAGTGACAGGTGCCTTACATTTATTTGAGTAAGGTCCTGATACAAAACAGAATATATGACATATCTTCTAAGTTTGGTCTAGAACCAGCAGAGGGAAGAGTGGAGTGCTTTCACAGCATAGAGCTTTCTGGGGCCCCTCGCTGCCACTCTCCACTCCTCTCCCAGCACCCCTGCTCCAGACTCCCAAAAGGAGAATTTTCAGCCCAAGTGCAAATTGAATGCTAAGGGCTTTCTTGGCTGTTTCATTTCAACCAGATCATTTTGGGCTTCCCCTGACAGGTTCCTGCCCTATCTAAGAGCTCCTCATGCTCAAGAGACTAGAGTCAGGCAGGAAATTGTCAGGAGAGAGACAGGCAGAGCAGGTGGGGATGTTTCACCAAAGCTATACTCTTTCTGACGTTTACGCCAACCTGCTCCCATGTGGCCACATCAGCACACAAGTCAGTGCTGTCAGAGAAGCTTGGGCTGATTTAGCTGAGATGAAACTCAGTATCTTGAGCAACAGTCAAATGTGTAAGTGTCTCAGATTAAGTGTCCACCGTCCCCCAGTCTGGGCCCCCCTTCTGGAGGCACCACACCTGCATGCCCTCTCCTCCACACCCGTTTGCTTGGCTCACACTCTCCTCCATGCTTGCCCCTGTGTGCCCTTCTCTTCATCTCTAGCCTCCAGCATCCTCTTCTCCCTACTGGCTGAGTGCTCACCAAGGGAGAGGGGCCCTGCTGGATCTGGAGCTTGAAAGCTGAAGGCCATTCCACATGGGAAACACACGTCCGTGGCCAGACGTGCCACAGGGGACGGCCCCTTCATCCTCACTGACTAGCCCCTGCCTCTCTTTTAATGCATCCTCGTTTCTTAGTGTGAAAGGAACTTCACAGTAATAAGCCTTCTATCTGCAGCACATAGGGAAGTACTAACCTGGAGACTACTGATGATCATTTTACAGGTGCAGGTGTTCTCTCTCTCATGTGGACAGCAACCCCTCTGGTGGCAAAGCCTAAATCTCATCGTTTTCGTACGTCACTGGCAAGAATTGTAAGGACAAGCTGTGCACACAGTAGGCTCACAGTAAAGACGGACAGCCCAGGGAAGCTCGGCTGGGTACCACAGAGAGCAGATGAAGCAGGCATGACCCATGTTCTCTAAGACAGTGGAAATAAATGAGCACCGCTGTGCAGGCTGGCTGCCCAGGAAAGTGCGGCACACACCGGTCAACTGTGTGCTCTGTGGCTGCATCCTCTGCCACCTTCACCAAAAAGCCAACCCCGCTTTCCTACACGGTCTAGGAGTGTTCTCTGCTTTCTCTCACCATTGGCCCTGTTACCATTATAGGCTGGAATCTCAAGCTAAGTACTTTGACCACCTTCACCTGAGAGGTTGATGTAGAAGGTTCTCGGCTACCCAGAAGGGCTTAGAAAAAGTTCAGCCCCTTGAGCTTGGGGTGCCTGGTCCTGGGCTTGCCTCCGTGAAGGAGAAGGGAAGCTTGTCTTGGCCCAGGGCAGGTAAGCCTGGTTCCATTGCGTGTATTCAAACATGTGATGAGGAAGGCTAGAAATACAGAAGCAGGGGCTAAAAGGCATTAAAGAACAGAGCCGAAATGAGTAATAGCCTGGCAGGCAGCACGCACAGTGGCCTCCCTGCATCTCCAGCCTCTCACTTGCATAGGAAACTTCTGCATTTCCACAAGACTGCCAGTTTCCTCTCTGTGGTCTAATTTTAACCACCTTGTCGTTACAGTGTGTGTCAGCCACCTGACCCCACTATGACCTCTGACCTTACGCCCCAGCTACTGCTTGCACTATGGAGAATTATGTAATGGGTCCAGGATTTTCCTTCTTGGTGTGAGGCTGCTGCCACTGAATGGAGAGGAGAGGGGAGCTAAGGAGTGAGAAGAGGACAGAGGAAAAGCTTGCAATTGTCCTTGGCCTCACCTGGACGATGAGAGGTACACTGGCACCCCTGCTAAGTGTGCAGAGGAAACCTGCCCAGGACAGGAGTGTGCCACGGACACATGCACAGACAGGCGGGCAGGAGTGTTGCTGCTGCTAGAGCACGGGCTACATGGTATGCTGCGTGGCTAAGAAAGCATGGTTTCTGGCCGACAGGGAGAAAAGCCACATGTGTGGATGTGGGACTCCTGGAGATGGGGATTTCCAGGGCACAGCAGGACCCAGGGATGTGGACATCCTGAGGCCACCTGCAGCACTTCCTTACAGGGTCTGTGGGAATTGCCTATTCCATGGACACAAGCAACGAGGAGTAGCCCTCTCCCAGTTTTCATTTCCGCCCCATTTAGAAGGAAATTGGTTTCCTTGGGGATTGTGTCTGTCATAGCTATTAGTTCCTTCTCTAGGACAAGGACAACTGCTGGCTGATATGCAAAAGGCTGTGATCTACTGGGGTCTCTGACCTGGTGTTAACAGGCCTGGAAAGGATTCTACCTGTTTGGAGAGAGAAAGGTTGTCTGTCTTTTGGAAGAGTACCCTGTCCTTTGCAATCCAAGCAGCAGGGAGGATGGTCAAAGCTGTGTAAAGTGTACTGTGGGAGTGAGAAGTGCACAGTCTGAGCTCTTTAGTAGATGGAGAAACTGAGAGGCAGAATGTCCAGGGCTTGCCCAGAGGCACAGAGAAACCTTCTGTCTGTAGCTCACTGGCCTGTCTGCAAAAGCATTCTGTCTTAACTTGGGGGGAATAAGCCCACTGGGGAGAGGACCACCGCTCTCTTGATGCTGGAGTTCTGTAGGAGACTTACGGGAATATTCTCCTAGACAAAGCCTCCAGCACTTGAGTCAGGGAAAAAGCAACACAAGACAGTTTAAATACAGTTAATAAGAGACTTCATAATGAAAGAAGCCTTTCAAACCACTGACAAAAAGCCAATTCCAAGATGATCTTTGCTTGGTCTAGGAGGACTTCCTGGTAGGAGAGGGGTTAAAGCTGGACTCCCTGCTTGGAGAGGAAGGACTCCAGATGAAGTCTGTGACATCATCCCCACAGTTAACTCTGCTCGTGAGCACATTTTTCCACTCTATATCAATGAAAACCAGAGAATGTAAGTGGCATGTATATCGCAGCTCTGGGGGCAAACTCTGGATCCTCCAGAGGAGAAAGAGCTGGGCGGGAGAGGCTCCCTTCCTGGGCTACATTAGCACGTGGGGCTGGACTGGGGATAGAGGCGACTAAAAGGGCCGCCAGCCAGGGAACACCCTGGGGAGCCTACGGACCTCTCCTCTGCGGTGTACCTTCTCAGTCACAGTCCTGACCCTTCTGGAGGGAGATGCACTGTGTAGGCGATTGTCAAGAATTCCCAAGTTAATTGACAAAATATCACATACAAATCATTTCAATCAGCTTGGGAAAGAAAACTGGGGCTTTAGGTCAGGGAAGAGCTGAAAGAAAGCCCCTTTCCCTTCCCCTGAAGATTGTCGGAGGCAGCTTACCACTGCAGCAGGAACTGAAACCTTTAGCTTTAGGGCTCCAGTTATCACTCTAATCAAGTCCACACGCAAAGAACCAAGCAGAAAGGAAAACTGAAAGTGAGATGTGGAGAGGCGATACCGGAGGCTGTTCTCTCCTAGGCTCAGTTCCTTAGAGAGAGATAATGTAAGCATCGGGTAAGTAGGGGCTGGAGCCAAGGGGAGCGAGGAACAAAGGAGAAAACCTCTAGGTCAAGAGAGTAGACTGGGTTACTGTTCTGGGGTATTTAAGGTGGAGAGGTGGAGAAGTAAAGAAAAATGGTGTTTCTTGACTGGGCACGGTAGCTCACGAATGTCATGTCAGCACTTTGGGAGGCCAAGGTGGGCAGATCACCTGAGGTCAGGAGTTCAAGACCAGCCTGGACAACATGGTGAAACCCCATCTCTACTAAAAATACAAAAATCAGCCGGGTGTGGTAGTACATGTGGTAGTCCCAGCTACTAGGGAGGCTGAGGCAGGAGAATCGCTTGAATCTGGGAGGTGGAGGTTGCAGTGAGCCGAGATTGCACCACCGCACTCCAGCCCAGGCAACAAGGCGAGACTCTGTCTCAAAAAAAAAAAAAAAAAAAAGGAAAGAAGAAAAAATGGTGTTCTCTGAAAACTGGTGACTCTTCACAGCCACTCGGTAGGGAACAAGCACAGTGTGGGTAGAGATGCCCGGCGGGGGAGGGGGGTTGGGGAGAGAAAACGAGCTATATGCTGCTTTATGAAGGTAGGGAGGGTAAGAGAGAACGGGAACTAAGCACCAGGTATCACATACTCATGTGCTCTGAGTTGCAAGACTTAACACCTCAGGGCAGCCCCGGGGAAGGGAGAAAACCTCCAAATCTAGCCAGGGAATATGAGGAAGGGCTGGAGAGCCAGGACCCTGGATGCAAGCTCTAGGGAGTGAGGGACTCGCTCTATCGTTACCTGGTCCCCGTTTTCTCCAAACAGGCTTCTTGGAAGGCACAACCATGGTTACTAGTCATTTTGCAAAATTTCTTTTTCTGAATTTTTGGTTTGGAGAAATCGGAGTTTAAACTTGTACTATCAGCCAGTTCTTTTTTCTAGTCTTAACAGTCCAGCTTGCTACTGCTCCTCTGGTTAAAGAGAACAATCACACGGGTTTCCCCCCACAAACTCAAGTTTACAGGTTGTTTTTCTTGTTTCTCTAAATGGAGCCAATTATTCTCACATTTGTTGAAACCTTCAATCAAACTTTATAGCTTGTTAATTTTACAGAATGTCCTTAGAGCAAATAAGATGCAGACAGGAACATGAAGTCTTTCTGAGATTATTAAGAAACCTTAAAATAGCCTACAAATCCAACACCAAGGCTGGTAAAATACAGGCTGCTTGGCTGGCTTCTGAGGTCAATTAGCAATGGGTTAATTATCATCTTTAATGAGCCAAACCTCCAGGATTGGCCACAAGAAATTTAACTCAGACTAATGTGTTTTCACAAACTGGGAACCTCTAGTTATGCACTACTCACCCTCAGAGGAAACTGAAGGGTGGGAAGCTCAATTCTGTAGCAGCCAAGGGTGGGCCAGCCTACGAAGGGGTCTGCCAATGGAAGTTCAGACACAAGAAATAAAAAATACCACACAGGGAATCCTCTGGAGCTGGGAGGACAGAGGAAATGGTTTATTCACATTCCTAGGGGGAGGGGCCTCCTGGCAGGAAGCAGACTCCAGAAGGCAGGAGCGAAACTGGCCACAAGGATGCACAGTCAGTCTGAAGACACAGGCAGTAGCTTAGGATGGGGAGACAGACATTCACAGCCTACTTGAGTCAGAAGAAGTTGGTATGAAATTGAGAAAGAGGCTCATGGGTCAGAGAGGAGGGAAAGAAAGAACCTGTGCAGGGGCTGAATGATAAGGGGGACAGAGTGAGAAAAAGCACACATCCTTGGACCAGATGCATCTCCTGACAACCTCGGAGCATACTGTCCAAGGGATCAATTCAAACAGTATTTCACTCTTTCCCTACCCCTGCTATAGCTGGGCCTCTTTCTATGTAAAGCGTTAAGTACAGGCTACTTTCTCAGTCTTTTTGCTTTTTTTTTTTTTTTGAGAGAGAGTCTCGCTCTGTTGCCCAGGCTGGAGTGCAGTGGTGCGATCTCGGCTCACTGCAAGCTCTGCCTCCCGCGTTCACGCCATTCTCCTACCTCAGCCTCCCGAGTAGCTGGGACTACAGGCACCCGCCACCACGCCCAGCTAATTTTGTGTGTGTGTGTGTTTTTTTTTAGTAGAGACGAGGTTTCACCGTGTTAGCCAGGACGGTCTTGATCTCCTGACCTCGTGATCCGCCCGCCTTGGCCAACCAAAGTGCTGGGATTACAGGCGTGAGCCACTGCGCCTGGCCCCTTTTTCTTTTTTTTTTTTTGAGACAGAGTCTTGCTCAGTCACCCAAGCTGGAGTTGCACTGGCATGATCTCAGCTCACTGCAACCTCCGCCTCCCGGGTTGAAGCGATTCTCCTGCCTCAGCCTCCTGAGTAGCTGGGATTACAGGTGCGCACTACCATGCCTGGCTAATTTATGTATTTTCAGTAGAGACGGGGTTTCGCCATGTTGGCCAGGCTGGTCTCGAACGCCTGACCTCAAGTGATCCACCGCGCCCGGCCTTTCTCAGTCATTTCTAATCCCGGTGTCCAGATCCAACCCTCCGTAGTCCTATGGTTGGCCTGTGCTAGCTGAAGGGTCATTGGGTCACAAGATGAAATGCTAACATCATTGGTCCACCCACAGCAACCACACCATTCCATGTGTCTGGTCCCAACAGCTGTGTTTTCTTCTTAGAGGAGGCAATGAGGGCCATTATCAATCAGCCAGCATTGCACAGATGCCTGCTGTCCCCACCTGTAACCACCAGGTGTGTGCTGAAGTCTCTTAGAGAAGGGGAGGTGGGAACTGGCAAATGGTCAGATGGCAAGACCTGGTGCTGGTGGGGAGACTATCCCAAGACAGGGTTACTGAAGATCCCAAAAGGTACACGTATATTTGGCTACTAGGAAGGAGACGATGTTCACACTGAAGGGAGAACCAGGGGAACAGGGGAGTTGTGAAGCACACACAGGAAGTAATGAGGTAAATAAAGTATAAAAAACAGGGCCATTCTGGCAAGAGGCAAGACAAGGCAATACAGGAGGTTGGACAAGAGCCTGGGCTTCATAGTTACACAGACGTGAGTTCAAGTACTAACTGCCACTTCCTGGCTGTTTATCCTTAGACAAGTTACTTAACCTCTCTGAGCCTTTGTTTGCTCAAGTTGTTTGTGAGGTTTAAAAGATAATACAGGCCGGGTGCAGTGGCTCATGCCTGTAATCGCAGCACTTGGGGAGGCTGAGGCAGTGGATCACCTGCGGTCAGGAGTCCGAGATCAGCCCGGCCAACATGGTGAAACCCCATCTCTACTAAAAATACAAAAATTAGCTGGGTTAGTAGCGGGCTCCTGTAATTCCAGCTACTCAAGAGGCTGAGGCAGGAGAATCTATTGAACCCAGGAAGTGGAGGTTACAGTGAGCTCAGATCGTTCTATTGCAATCCAGCCTGGGTGACAGAGCAAGACTCTGTTGCAAAAAAAAAAAAAAAGATAAGACAAGCCTGGGCAACATAGTGAGACTGTGTCTGTCAAAAACAAACAAACAAACAAAAAAGCTGGGCATGGTGGTGCAACACACCTATGGTCCGAGCTAACTAGGAGGCTGAGGTAGGAGGATTGCTTGAGCCGGGGAAGTCAGAGCTGCAGTGAGCCATGAGCACGCCACTGCACTCTAGCCAGGGTGACAGAGTGATATCGTGACTCAAAAAGAAAAAAAAAGACAGAGGGAATACATATCAAATACTTAGCGAGATGCCTGGGCCCAGTAGGTGCTCGATAATTGAGCAGCTGGCATTTTTTTTTCCTCTTATCTCCACTCTCTTCAGAGGTGGGAGGGGCACTGCCTAACATGGCTGAGCTGTTTGGAAGCCAGTCTGAGAGGCAAGGTGGGAAGCATGGGGCTGGCACATAGCCTAGGGCCAAGGGGAGAGGCCCTGGAATGCTTACCTGGCTGTTGAAGCTGCAAAAAAAATTTTTTTTAAATTTGTCCAGGCTGGAGTTTGCAGTGGCGTCATCATGGCTTGCAGCAGGCTCAGTCTCTTGAGCTCAAGCGGGAAGCTGGCTAATTTTTAAAAATTGTTTTGTAAAGATGAGGTCTTGCTATATTGTTGGTCTCAAACTCCTGGCCTCAAGTGATCCTCCCACCTTGGCCTCCCAAAGCACTGGGATTACAGGCACGAGCCACCACTCAGGGCCTGAAATATTTTATTCAGAACTAAGGTGCTAGATCCAGGCTACTGGGCTGGCCAAGCAGGGGAGGAAAGACCTTGCCTCTCTTCAGCAATCCCTCTCCCTATTCTTCAGAAAGACTCCGGACCTAACCATAGGTATGCATGCATTACTCCAGTAATCTAGAGAGGCTCCAAGGTCCCGGGCTTCGGAACAAGCGGGCCACTAATAAATGTATCAGAAATACAGTCACAATTGCCTTGTCCATGAGGTCCCTTCACAGTGGGGTACGGGCGGTGGCTCTGCCTTTGCTAGTGGGATCGTTGAGGGTTTGAGGAGGCCCTGCAAACCCTGCAACGTAACTTTCTTTCTTTTTTTCTGAGATGGAGTCTGGCTCTGTCACCCCAGGCTGCGGTGCAGTGGCGAGATATCAGCTCACTGCAACCTCCACCTCTTGGGTTCAAGAGATTCTTCCTAAGTAGCTGGGGCTACAGGCACGTGCCACCACACCCAGCTAAGTTTTGTATATTTAGTAGGGATGGGGTTTCACCATATTGGCCAGGCTGGTCTCTAATTCCTTACCTCAAGTGATCCACCTGTCTCGGCCTCCCAAAGTGCTGGGATTACAGGCGTGAGCCACTTTGCTTGGCCAACAGTATCTTATTTTATTCTAAGATGGGGTCTTGCTTTGTTGCCCGGGCTGCTCTTGGCTACTCCGAACTCCTGGCCTCAAGGAATCCCACTGCCTTAGCCTCCCAAAGTGCTGGGATTATAGGTGTTAGCCACCGTGTCCAGCCTGGTATCTTTCTTAAATAAGACCCAGCTGGATCCTTGCCTCATGTCTCCCAATATGAAAGTAGTGATGAGAAGATCCCCAATATGGTATTTTCTACCCACCTGAATTTCCTGAGCTTAGATGTTCCAAACAAAGCCAGATAGGAGTCTGGTCTTCCATGGGCAGAGTAAGCTTGCTCTTCTTGAACTGTTCCTTCATGGACAGAAACTATTCTTTTCTAGAGCTCTCGGCTCCGGCTGTACCAGAAAGGTACATTCTCAGCGGCAAAAGCGTCACAGAGAGCAAGCTATAGGCAGCAGTAGCTCGGGCTTCAGTCCAATTCTGCTTCCCCTGCAGAGTGCTCTTAGAGCAGCCACCCACATTGGCAGGGGTTAAGGACGGATATTGGCACTGCCAACACAAGCCTTTCAGGTCTGGCTGGCTTCAGCTGATCTGAAACCTGGAACACAGGCGCTGGGGCCCTCACTTACTGAACCAGCAGGGGAGGCTGCAGGCTCAGCCCCTGGGGATGAAAGTCCTCCCGTCTGTCTCAGTCTGCAAATATCCACACACAGTCTGTTTCTACACTGCCAGTTAGCTCTGGGCCAGAAGCACTGAACCTTGGGCTCTAGTCACTCTGAACCACACTGTTTGCCTTCTAGACAGCCACGTCCAGGAGGCCTCCCCTTAGGTTTGTGTTTAGGCTCCTTTACCAAATTTGCTCCTAATTGTATTTATTCTACGCGTGGCACAAGAGTGGACTCTCGGAGACATCTGTAGTCTTCAACACACTTAGGCAACATGCAGTTCAGCAACATGTAAGTGCCTACTGTGTGTGTGAGGCACTGTCCTCCAGACCCTGGGGACTCATCACAGAACAAAGGAAAATCCCTGTTTCACTTGGGGGGTTGGGTGGCGTGGGTCACATTCATACCAGATACATCAACAGACCCCCTGCATCAAGAGAGCACGCGCCCCTCCCCGGCTGCCATGACCTGCGGTACTCAGGAAGGCAGAATTCTCAGCCCAAGGGAGAAGAAAAGCTCCTTGCAGAGACCCAGGACACTGCTCCTTCATTCCTTTCAGGCGGATGGGTCCCGAGGAAGTCGGGATGGAAAATTCTTTTGGGCTTAGCCTTGCTATCAAATGAAATCCCAAGCTCCTTGCAAACCCTCGCCCACCCACCCCTCCCCCCAAAGATCACTACTGGCACTTGTGGCTATTATTCCCTAATCCGGAACTTCAAGCCCCAGGCAACCCCCTTTGCTATACCCTGCAGGCTGTCTGCTTCCCCTGGCACCTCTGAAAGTTCACATATTACTCCCCCAACCTGCAGTTATTTTACATTTAAGCAATCAATTCATTCCCTCATCGTCTTTTAAGCTTGGTAAGGTCTTTTTCTTTTTTCTCTTTTTTTTGAAACAGAGTCTTGCTCTGTTAGCAATCAAGGCTCACTGCTGCCTCAAATAACTGGGCTCAAGCAATCCTCCCACCTCAGCCTCCAGAGTAGCTGGGACCACAGAGGCACACCACTTATGTCTGGCAAATAATTATTTATTGAGACAGAGTCTCACTGTATCGCCCAGGCTGGAGTGCAGTGGCGCGATCTCGGCTCACTGCAACCTTCGTCTTGAACCTGGGTTCAAGTGATTCTCGTGCCTCAGCCTCCTGAGTAGCTGGGATTCACAGGTGCACGCCACCATGCCCGGCTAATTTTCATATTTTTAATAGAGATGTGGTTTCACCATGTTGGCCAGGATGGCCTCGAACTCCTGACCTCAGGTGATCCACCTGCCTTGGCCTCCCAAAGTGCTGGGATTACAGGCGTGAGCCACTGCGCCTGGCTAATGGCTAATTTTTTTTTTGTAGAGACAAGGTCTTACTATGTCCCCTAGCTGATCTCAAACTCATAGCTTTAAGTGATCCTCCTGTATTGGCCTCCCAAAGTGCTGGAGTTGCAGGTGTGAGCCGCCCATCCCAGCCTATAAGTCCTTCAAGACGCCAGTTAGCCTTTGTCCAGTCTGCCAGCCTACCTTCCACAAATCTTTCGTAACGCCCTACTATGTGACAGGGACTGCTAGACATCCTGGGCACACAAGACAAGACAAGACAAGACAAGACAGATGCAGTCCTTGACTTCACATGACCTTCAGTCCAGCAAAGGACTCCACAGGAACCTCACACTAACCTCTCCCAAGTACACAGGTATCCCTCCAGCAACTATGGACTAGGCCTACACTTCATTCATCTTCTCTGACTCCATTAGCAGCCCTCAACATCTGCACTACTTGTACGTCACAAAGTGAATTCTTTTGTCCTTTGGTTGGAAGAGACCTTAACAATCACTCAGAGCCACAAGAGAACCTCCTCTAAATACCCCTCAGTGATCCAAGTCTTTCTTGACTACTTCTGGTGGAGAGGACTCAAGGCCCTGGAGTAGTTTTTAAAATCAATCATTACTTAACATTGAAGAAATATATAATTTTTCTTTTCTTTTCTTTTTTTTTTTTAGACAGGGTCTCTCTCTGTCCACCCAGGCTGGTGTGCAGTGGCACAATCACGGCTCACTACAGCCTCGACTTCCTGGGCTTAGGTGATCCTCCCACCTCAGCCTCCCAGATAGCTGGGACCACAGGTGCGAGCCACCACACCTGCTAATTTCAGGGTTTCACCATGTTGGCATGGCTGGTCTTGAACTCTTGGCCTCAAGCAATCTGCTTGCCTCCGCCTCCCAAAGTGCTGGGATGATAGGCATGAGTCACCACGTCCAGCCAATCATTTTTATTGTCTACACTAACAGACTTTTTTCCTGACCATTCTGTATGAGGTGTGTTACTGTGTTGAATCTGTAAGGGGGCATATTTCCTACCAGAAGGCCATTCTATTTTTGGACTTTTCTAATTGCTAGAAATGTTTACACCTTTTAAACCCAGATCTGCCTCCCAATGCTTCTAATTCGGTTCTCTGGGGCCATGTAAAAAAACAAAAAACAAAAGAAAACAAACTCAAATTCTGCTTTTATCTGACTGGCCTCAAATTATGAGGTCTGCTGTGTTATACACCTTCTCTAGGCTAAACAGTCCCACTTCCTTCAACTGTGCCTCACTCCAACTGTCTCCTAAACATCCTGCTTATTCTTTCACTAAGACTTTCACTAAGACTAAAGTGTCTCCCACAGTGAGTGCCCACGTGACCTGGTAGCAGAGCAGAGAGTAGACCATTCCCTCCCATTTCTATCGGGGATACTCAATTTTAATAATAGACTTAACAGCATTACTGTTGTTGTCCCCACCTTGCACTACTGATAAACTGTGAGCTTCTTTTTTCCTTTTCTTGGGGGGCGGGGGACAGGGTCTTGCTCTGTCCCTCAGGCTGGAGTACAGTGACGAGATCATGGTTCACTGCAGCCTTGACTTCTCAGACTCAGGTGATCCTTCCGCCTCAACTTCCTCAGGAGCTGGGACTACAAGCACGTGCCACCACACCTGGCTGTGTGTTCTGTAGAGACGGGGTTTCACCATATTGCCCCAGTTGGTCTTGAACTCCAGTTCAAGTTTAAGGAATCCTCCTGCCTCAGCCCCCCAAAGTGTTCGGACTACAGGTGTGAGCCACTGTGCCCTGCCAATTGTGAGCTTCTAATCAACAAATCCCCAAATTGTTTTCACATATGTTGCTAAATCCTATCTCCCTTTATGGAGTACAAGCCCTCCACCAACTATTCCCTTTCACATCTTTTCCTTCACCAAGGTCTTCTCCCCATGCCTGAAGAAATCCGATTATTTACCATTGTGCTGCATGCTACATGCTAAGTGTGGCTGACTTTTTGGACCAGGGTAGGGTTTTACATTCTTTCTTTTCTGATTTCATCTTGTCATTTACTTCTCCCCATTGCAACCTATTAAGTTCTCTTTGGATCCTAAATTTTTCATCTAAGAATGCATTCCCTTCTCAGGTTTATGTTACATACTTTTTGTTGTTGTTGTTGTTGAGACAGTCTCGGTCTTGTTGCCCAGGCTGGAGTGCAATGGCGTGATCTCGGCTCACTGAAACCTCTGCCTCCTGTGTTCAAGTGATTCTCCTGCCTCAGCCTCCCGAGTAGCTGGGATTACAGGCACCCGCCACCATGTCCAACTAATTTTTGTATTTTTAATAGAGACGGAGCTTCCCCATGTTGGTCAGGCTGGTCTCAAACTCCTGACCTCAGGTGATCCACCCGCCTCAGCCTCCCAAAGGGCTGGAATTACAGGCGTGAGCCACCGTGCCTGGCCATGTTACATGAATTTTATCAGTTGGTTTTATTTACAATTCTTAATATCTTTCTCCCATTAATCTGTCGTGTTTTTTTCTCCTAAGTAAGATTCTTGAGGGGAGGCACTAGTGTGTGTGTTTGTGTGTGTGCTTAAAATAAAATCTATCTGCAGTATTTAACATGCACTATGGATACCTGAACAATGTGGATGAGTGATCGTGGGGGTCAGATGGCAGCCTCAGGACAATCCCAGAGGACATCACGGAGGTGGTGCGGCCATACTGCCTATACTGTGTCAATCATGCTCCCCGAAGCTGTGCAACACAGACACCTGGACACACTCGGAGATGCTACCTTCTGTTTGGGGGGTGCTCCTCATGGGGGTTTGGACTCAATAAGGAATAGGGACTCCTCTTTGACAGGCTGCCTCCAGTTTCTCATGTGAAACCAGATACCAGAAGAAGCCACGCTCTGGGCAGGTCTTAACTCCATGGAGGCTGTTGTACCAGGTCAAGGTAAAATGTACCTCCTAAGAAGTGACATTTAATGATCTTCAAAGCACTGATGTCATGCTTTGAAAAAAAAAAATTACATCCACATCTGAAGAACCCCCACAGCATATTAAAAAATGTAGTATGCAGACATTCTCTGAGATTTGGGCTGAGGTAGAAAGCCATTTTAAGTTGCATTTTCAGGTTCTATGTTTCTGGAGTCCTGAATCACAAACATGACCCATGCCTCATAGTTGGAGACAAGAGAAGCTTTGTTAACGAAAACGAACTAGCCTATCCATAGCTCGGGATAACGTGTAAGTCAGCAAATGGCTGCCATACAGAACCAGCTCAATCAGTGTCAGTTCTCCCTTCTTCACATCTGAACATGAAAAGGCATTTTTTCAAAACCAACTGTATCACAATCACACGCTGAGCTTATTAAAAATGCAGATTCCCGAACTCCACTTTTTTTCTGGAGACTGGGTCTCACTCTGTCGCCCAGGCTGGAGTGCAGTGGTGAGATTTCCGCTCACTGCAACCTCTGCCTTCTGGGCTCAAGTGATCCTTCCATCTCAGCCTCCTGAGTAGCTGGGACTACAGGTGCCTGCCACCATGCCCAGGTAATTTTTATCTTTTTTTTTTTTTTTTTCGAGACAGTGTCTTGCTTTGTTGCCCAGGCTGGCGTGCAGTGGCACAATCTTGGCTCACTGAAATCTCCACCTCCCAGATCTAAGCAATTCTTCTGCCTCAGCCTCCTGGGCAACAGGGATTACAGGCAAGTGCCACCATACCCAGCTAGTTTTTGTATTTTTTGTAGAGATGAGGTTTTGCCATGTTGGCCAGGCTAGTCTCAAACTCCTGGCCTCAAATGACTCGCCCGCCTCGGCCTTCCAAAGTGTTCAAGTACAGGAGTGAGCCACCGTCCCTGGCCTAATCTTTGTATTTTTTTTAGAGATGGGTTTTCACCACATTGGCCAGTCTGGGCTTGAACTCCTGGCCTCAAGTGATCTGCCCTCCTTCACCTACCAAAGTGCTGGGATTATAGGCATAAGCCACTGGTGCCCGACTTTGTTTGTTTTCTTTTTACCTAACACTACTCCTTGGCTATGGATTCCACTTTGAATTCAATGAATTAGTATTTCTTGAGATAGGACCTTAGAATGTGTACTTTTAAACATTTTATTCTATGAGACAGGGTTTTGCTCTCTCACCTAGGCTGGAGTGCTGTGGTGTAAACACGGCTCACTGCAGTCTCAACCTATCGAGTAGCTGGGAATACAGGCGCACACCATCACATCCAGCTAATTTTTAAAAAATGTTTTGTAGAGATGGGGTCTCGCGATATTGAACAGGCTGGTCTTGAACTCCCAGGCTCAAGAGATCCCCCTGCTTCAGCTTCCCAAAGTGCTAGGATTACAGGTGTGAGCCACAGCACCTGGCCAGAATGTATTGCACAGGCTGGTCTTGAACTCCTAGGCTCAAGAGATCCCCCTGCTTCAGCCTCCCAAAGTGCTGGGATTACAGGTGTGGGCCACAGCACCTGGCCAGAATGTGTGTAAGTGTTCCAGGTACTTATGAACACTGAGTTTTAGAATTACTGCTTTAAAGGATGGAAGGTTAGGTCAAAGTGGTCACAATTTTACTAGACTCTTCAAAATGCAACTCTATTTTTCAAAGGTGCAAACACTACTACTATCTATATATTTTTTGAGACAGGGTCTTGCTCTGTCACCCAGGCTGGAGTACAGTGGCGTGATCAAAGCTCACTGCAACCTTGAACTCCTGGACTCAAGTAATCCTCCTGCCTCAGCCTCCCAAGTGGCTGGGACGACAGTCATGCATCACCATGCCCAGCTAATTTTTGAATTTTTATTTTTGTAGAGATGGGGCCTCGCTATGCTGCCAGGACTGGTCTTGAACTCCTGGTCTCAAGCAGTCCTTCTGCTTTGGCCTCCCAAAGTGTTGGGGTTACAGCCGTGAGCCACTGCACCCAACCTACTTTATATTTTTCATGATACTTTTAGGATCTAGAAATCCTCTGCACTCTTTGATGCAGTTACTACATCCAGATGATGTAGATGAGGAAACTAAAATTCAAATAAATTCAATGACATTCTCAGGAGAACTAAGATCCAAAGCCAGATAAAATGACTTCCTCATTCAAGGTTTACCAGCTCACCAGCGCTACCTTCCTGGAAGAGTGCCATCGGCCTTCCGGGACGTAATAAAACCTGCTGCATGCCTCACTCACCCTTCGCAGCCACAGCGAACACCGAGCGAATGGTTACTACAAGCCAGGCACTGTGCCAAATGCTTTACACGAACCAACTCGTGATCCCCACAACCTCATGAAGTAGATACTGTCACTGCTTCGATTATAGAGGTGAGGAAATTAAGGCACAGAGAAGTAACTTGCTCAGGAAATGCAGCCAGTAACTGCAGGGGCCGGACTGTTCTAACTGCCACAGCTCTCCATGATCCAGAACATTCACAGGTGTTTCAGAGACCCTCACCATCTCCCCAAGGAGAAAGCTCTTCTCTTGCCTGGAAATTCACAGAAGAAGAGAAAAAGGCAGCCTCTCAGAGCTGATTTCTTGAAGACTGAACTCTTCTGGGCATGGTGCACTCCTCCTGGGTGGGTGACACGCCACAGTCTAGGACAAGCAGGGCCTAGTGGAACGACAGTGTCGTGGCCTCCTAACTTGTGTGCTCTCAGGCAAATTACTGAGCCCTGTCTGCAAGATGCTAATAACTCTGAAGATCTATATTCCTAGTCCTTTACAAAATTTTATTATAAATTGACAATTTATATTTGTGTTTATTTACAAGGGTACAAAGTGATATATTTTATGAATACAATGTATAATAATTAAACCCAGCTAATTAACATACCCATCACCTCAAATACTTATCATTTTATTGTGGTGAGAAAATTTGAAATTTACTCTTAAAGGAATTTTTTTTTCTTTTAGACAGGGTCTTGCTCTGTCACCCAGGCTGGAGTGCAGTGGTGTGATCAAGACTCACTGCAGTCTTCACTTCCCAGGCTCAAGTGATCTTCCCGCCTCAGCCTCCCAAGTAGCTGGGACTACAGGCGTGGACCACCACATCCTGCTAATTTCATTTTTTTTTTTTTTTTTTTTTTTTTTAGAGATGAGGTCTCACTATGTTGCCCAGGCTGGTTTGAGCTCCTGGTGTCAAGTGATCATCCTGCCTCAGCCTCGCAAAATGTTGGGATTACAGTTGTGAGTGACCACGTCTGACCTCTTAAAGCAATTTTAAATGTACAGTGCTGTATTTTTATGCTCACCATGCTGTTCAACAGATCTCAGAAAAACACACACCCATCTTTCTCCCATGGAACTGACGCTTTGAACCCTTTGACCATCATCTCCCCATTTCCCAGCCTCTGTAGCCACCATCCTACTCTCTGCTTTTATGAGCTGGACTCTTTCAGATTCTACATGTAAGTGAGAACATATGGTATGTGTCTTTCCGTGCCTGGCTTATTTCACTCAGCATAATGCTCTTCAATTCCACCCATGTTGCTGAAAACAACAGAATTTCTTTTTAAAGGCCAAATAGTACTCCATTGTGTGTATGTCCCACCTTTTCTTTATCCATTCATCTGTTGATGGACACTCAGACTAATTCCATAACTTGGTTATTGTGACTAATGCTGCAGTGAACCTGGGAGTCCAGACATCTCTTCAACCAACTGATTTCAAATCTTTTGGGTGAATGCCCAGAATTGGGATTACTCTCTTTCCATTCTTACAGGTTTCTGTGATTCTGGGCAGTCATCTTGGAAAGGAGGAAAGGATCGTTCTGCCACTGAGCTTGATGGAGGAGCTCAGCTCTGTCATAGGGGACAGTGCCAAGAGCTGGGCTTGGCCTTTTTGGAAGGGTTAAAGATTCAGAATGCGAACTAACAGTGAGAGGCTAGAGATTACTCTGATGGAAAAGGGTGGTATAGGTTACTCTCATATGATAAGCCACTCAGGAAGACTTGGAGGGTTTTATGGAATCATTAGCACAGAGCTCCCCTCTGGCCACAGAGCAGAGGAAGAAACAGCGGACCAGTTTATAAAGCTACAGAGCGGAAAATTTCTGTTGCTGTCCAAACTAAGTTTTTGGCTTTCTGTGAAGCTTGGAAAGACTTATACTGATGTTTTAATCACCTGTTTAGTGTTCTGAGGACTCTTGTCAGCGGCCTCACTGAGCTTGCTCCAGCAGGCAGTGGGGAACGGCTGGCTCTCGCCCCACGCTCTTCTTGTGAGCTGTTTCTTTCCCATGACCACCTCCAACACCCTGTAGCTCCCATTGGGCCACTTGGAGGGTATAAGCCAAACC
The DNA here is from genome assembly GCF_000001405.40 of Homo sapiens. Lineage (NCBI taxonomy): Eukaryota > Metazoa > Chordata > Mammalia > Primates > Hominidae > Homo > Homo sapiens. The sequence goes on from NC_000017.11 coordinate 2,103,759, forward strand.
TGTGAGCCCTATAGGAGACTGAGCACACTCTTTTGGGCTAACTCATCACCGGATCTAAAGTCAGGAAAGACCCCTTAATAAGAGCCTTGGTGCAAAGAGGTAAGAAGTCGTCTCAAGATTAGTCTGCCAGCAACACCTCTGTGATGGCACAGAGAAAGCAGGCTTGACTTCCAGGAGAATCACCATCAACACATTCTTTTTTTTTTTTTTTCAGTTGGAATCTTGTTCTGTAGCCCAGGCAGGAGTGTAATGGCACGATCTCAGCTCACTGCAACCTCTGCTTCCCAGGTTCAAGTCATTCTCCTGCCTCAGCCTCCCGAGTAGCTGGGACTACAGGCGCCCACCACCTCGCCCGGCTAATTTTTTGTATTTTTAGTAGAGACGGGGTTTCACCATGTTAGCCAGGATGGTCTTGATCTCCTGACCTCGTGATCCGCCCACCTCGGCCTCCCAAAGTGCTGGGATTACAGGCGTGAGCCACCGCGCCCGGCCACACCTGGCTAATTTTTGTATTTTTAGTACAGACAGGGTTTCACCATGTTGGCCAGGCAGGTCACGAATTCCTGATTTCAAGGGTTCCGTCTGCCTCAGCTTCCCAAATTGCTGGGATTACAAGCTTGAGCCACTGTGCCTGGCCACCATCCAGACATTCTAAAGCACTTGGGTATTTATTGTGAAAAGAAGTCCTCACAAGTGACAATGCATACTGAACAAATTCAGGGCAGGGAAAGTTCTAGAAAGAAAAACCCATGAGCATGCCAGAAGCTCTTTAAAGAGGTTAAGGGGGTTGAAAAAAAAAAAGGTTCAGGGTAGTGGCAGGTAGAGCAAGTTAGCATCTTACTTCCTCTGCAATTTTCATTGATCACGCTTTCTTGGTGGCCTAAATATCCCATTTTACTGGGAAAGCTGTGGTGTAGATGAAGTGGTGACAGATGGTTACTAGGAATTATGTTATTTCATTTGATTATCATGGTAATCCTGTGAGACAGGAAGAGGAAACTAAAGCTCAGAAAAAGCAAGTGATGAAGTGATGAAGCTGGGCTTTGAACCCAGATTTGTCTTACTCCAAAGTTTGTGCTCAGTTCATTATATTATAATATGGCCTCTTATGAAGGTAATGGCACTTTCACAAAGAGTATAGGGAAAGGTCTCTACTTCAAGTCATCTTTTTTTTTGGGAGACAAGGTCACACTCTGTTGCCCAGGCTGAGTGCAATGGTGTGATCTTGGCTCACTGCAGCCTCAACCTCCCAGGTTCAAGTGATCCTCCCACTTCAGCCTCCTGAACATCTAGGACTACAGGTATGCACCACCACACCCAGCTAATTTTTTTTTTTTTTTTTTTTTTTTGTAGAGATGGGGTCTCACCATGTTACCCAGGCTGCTCTCAAACTCCTGGACTCAAGCAATCCTCCCGCCTCGACCTCCCAAAGTGCTGGGATTACAGGCGTGAGCCACTGCACTCAGCCTACTTCAAGTCTTTCTCACTTAAAAAATATTACACTCAGCCGGGCGTGGTGGCTCACACCTGTAATCCCAGCACTTTGGGAGGCCAAGGTGGGTGGATCACCTGAGGTCAGGAGTTTGAGACCAGCCTGGCCAACATGGTGAAACCCAATCTCTACTAAAAATACAAAAATTAGCCGGGCGTGGTGGCAGGTGCCTGTAATCCCAGCTACCTGGGAGGCTAAGGCAGAATTGCTTGAACTTGGGAGGCGGAGAGTGCAGTGAGCCAAGACCGCGCCACTGCACTCCAGCCTGAGCAACAAGAGCAAAACTCTGTCTCAAAAATAAATAAATAAATAAATAAATAACACTTGCCCAGACTCAGCAGTAGCCTAAAGGCCCTCAGGACAGAAGAAACAGTTCTGACGAATTTGCCTTTAGAGGAACACAAATTGAATGGGTGCTTGGCTAAGCTACAGGCAAGAAAAGAAATACTGAAATTTAAAATTTCTCAGGATACCTGCCCTAAAAAGAGTTCTATCACTTAGATTCATTTCATTTCACTGGACATAATATGGGCAAAACCTCAGCTGAATACTTGATGAGCTGAATGAATATAGGAAACTAGTAACTGCCAGATGTTAAGTTTTAAGACCTATATGTGGGTAACCTCTGAAAGTTGTCTGCACCACAGCCTTGAACTTTTCTACTGAATGTAAAGAGTAAAGTCCATCATGAAGACAGGAAAATGGAAATCAAAGCTCCCTCCTGATACTTGGCACCCAAAGGCTCCACAAATCTGTCAATCCAAGTAACTTTTACTTTGCAAGCAACAGGGTGTGTTACTTATCTGGCAACGCTTGATCTTGGAGAAGGTATGAAGGAGGAGAAGAGAGAATAATAGTTTACTTCTCAGTGGAAAAACCAGGCTTAAGGAGGAGATACTGATTTCTGATTGAGTTCTCAGGGAGACCTTCTCTGCCATAGAATTTTCCCTTTCCACCCCATCACTTTTCTTCTTGTCTCTTTTCTTACTAAGGGAAGTTTCTTCAAACTGCTGTCTCTGGCTCAAAGTTAATTTCCCTTTGGCCAAAGCACTCTGCACATGCCATTGTTCCATGCCCTGTTATGCCAGAGTTCAAGCAGATAAGCCACCAACGTGCCTTTTAATAAAGGAAGGGAGGGGGGTCTCTCAAGGGAACTCTGCTTACTGGGGGAAAAGAGAGTCCTATAGCAGCAAAGGCACATACTACCATTCCTCGGTGACCTCAGAGGAGTCTATTTACAAAGGCTATAGTTAGAGAGGAAAGGGCAAGAAGGAAGGGAAAGAGAGGGAGACCATGACCAGAGAGGTCTTATGTCCCACAGGAATAACTCCGAGGACAAGGGAAAGGCTGTCCTGTCACAAGGGCAAAATTAACCAGACCCAGCCGATTATGAGAGAGGGAAGGAGGATGCTGGGAACATGAAGGGGGCAAAGCTTACAGGCCACTACATATATGGGGGAATGCAGGAGGAAAATGTTTCAAAGCTGATGACAAGGCAGACAGGAAACCTCCGTGTCCCTGCTGACAGGAAAGAAAGAGTGAAAGAAATTCTGGGATCTTCTCTCTAGGCAGGAATTTTTTTTTTTTTTTTGAGACAGAGTCTCGGTTTGTCGCCCAGGCTGGAATGCAATTGTGCGATCTCGGCTCACTGCAACCTCCGCCTCCCGGGTTCTAGCAATTCTCCTGCCTCAGTCTCCCAAGTAGCTGGGATTACAGGCATGTGCCACCACGCCTGGCTGAGTTTTGTATTTTTAGTAGAGACGTTTAGTATTTCAGTACTTAGTAGTTTAGTATTTTAGCCTGACATGTTGGTCATGCTAGTCTTGAACTCCTGACCTCAGGTGATCTGCCCACCTTGGCCTCCCAAAGTGCTGGGATTATAGGTGTGAGCCACTGTGCCCAGACTCTATGCAGGATTCCTAATAGGCATGTGAAGTTCCCTGTCTTCCCATGGGTGTGCTGACAGCTGGAAATCCTGCCCTTTGGGTCAGGCAGGGCAGGGATCTAGACCTCTCGGGAGTTCATGAAGAGGTTCACTAAGGACTGAAACCATGATCCCAAACACAAATGGGGACTGTCATTTCCTGTTGGGTTTCCATGCTGTAAAAAAGTGGGGGAGAAATGCCAGCTACGAAGTACTATGTCTTCTATGGAAAATGGAGTATGCAGTGTATCTGGCTCCTGGTTCTGACTTGTAAATCTAAGTGAGAACTAGTTGTTAGCTGCTAGAGGATTATAGTGTTAAACAGACATTCTACCACCCAACCTGCCAGCCTTTCTGCTCACTGTCTCTGGGCCTCTAGGTAGCTGATGACACAGTTGTCTTGAGCCTCCATAGGAAGGGCAGTCTTGGGCTGGGGCAGCTCCTCTGGGCACTAGTTCACTGCTCTGTGTTCTTAAACAGCTCTGATGGAACAAGCCATCTGTGAGGGTTATTTAACTTGGAGCTGGAAGAGGGTGAGGATGTGGAAAAAATAAACTGAACAGCCAATGGATGGGGCCAGAGAGAGAGAGAAGGCAGGTGGCATGTTCATGGGACTGCGTGCCAGGGCCAAGCGGGGTGGGACTGCAGAAAGGAATGGTGCCGAAAGGAGGCCAGCATGGGAGGGGCTGGAACACCCAGGACAGCAGAATTTTATTTCCAAAATGGTATTTTGTTGTTCTCCTTCAAGGGCACCCAAGTCCTCACTTTAGAGTTCTATTTCTGGGAGAATCTTGGAATAGTGTAACTAAGCACACCTGCCTCGCCTTCTGAAAAGCTACCTGAACCTTGCCCAATTTCTGAGCCTTAGCCTACAAGATAAATCTAACAGGTTTTTTTTTGTTTTGTTTTGTTTTTTACATCCAATGCCTCAAAATAATGGCAACAGCTAAGTGGGTAGAAAACGGAAATGAAGGATTACAGAGAATTTGCATGAATTACAGAAAACAGCTATAGAAACTACAGGATGATCCAGAAGGAGACATGGGAATCTGATGTGTGACTGAGTTGTAACTGGACCTCTTTGGAGTCTTCTTAGCCACTCTCCAATCCCCAGCGTCCACTATGAAAACACATATTGAAACTTTCATTTTTAAAAATCTTGCCAGGCGCAGTGACTCACGCCTGTAATCCCAGGCCTTTGAAAGGCCGAGGCGGGCGGGTAACTTGAGGTCAGGTGTTCGAGACCAGCCTGGCCAACATAGTGAAACCCTGTCTCTACTAAAAATACAAAAATTAACCAGGCCCACGCCTGCAAACCTGCAGGTGCACACCTGCAGTCCCAGCTACCCAGGAGGCTGAGGCAGAAGAATTGCTTGAATCTGGGAGGCAGAGGTTGTAGTGAGCCGAGATTGTGTCACTGCACTCCAGCCTGGGCCACAAAGCGAGACTCTGTCTCAGATAATAATAATAATAAAAAAATTCTGAGCCAGGTGTGGTGGCTCATCCCTTTAATTCCAGAACTTTGGGAGGCCAAGGTGGGTGGATCACCTGAGGGTTAGGAGTTTGAGAACAGCCTGGCCAATACAGCGAAGACCCGTCTCTGCTAAAAATATAAAAAAATTAGTCGCGCATGGTGGCGGGCGCCTGTAATCGCAGCTACTCGGGAGGCTGAGGTGGTAGAATCACTTGAATCCAGGAGTTGGAGGTTGCAGTGAGTTGAGGATTACACCACTGCACTCCAGCCTGGGCGACAGAGCAAAAAAACCTAGGCATTTTCACTTATTTTATCTCATTTAATCCTTACTAAAATCTTATGAAATAACTAATGTCATCCCCATTTTTCAGAGAGTAAACTCAACCCCAGAGACAATACATTAATTATCTGGCGTTTTCTCATGACTAGCACAGAGCATAATAAAGGCTATGACATCTATCTAGAACAGGAAGATGTATTTTTCTGCAGGTTGTCCTGGCAAAATAGCATTAGAGTTGACAGTATCTCATCTGATCCATTCCTGATTACCAAGTCTATGTAGTATATTCTCACAGGATTTGAAAAAGAGACCAAAAAGCTGCTGTTAGAATATATGTCTCTCTTTTTTTTTTTGAGATGGAGACTTGCTTTGTCACCCAGGCTGGAGTGCGGTGGCACAATCTTGGCTCACTCCAACCTCCACCTCCTGGGTTCAAGTGATTCTCGTGCCTCAGCCTCGTAAGTAGCTGTGATTATAGGCGCGTGCCACCACGCCTGGTTAATTTTTGTATTTTTAGTAGAGACAGGGTTTCGCCATGTTGGCCAGCCTGGTCTTGAATTGCTGGCCTCAAGTGATCCGCCTGCCTCAGCCTCTCAAAGTGCTGGGATTACAGGTGTGAGCCACCGTGCATGGCCTTTCTCATTCTTTATTAAATATTTTCAAGGCAGTAGATTAAGAATAGGATTAGAGACAGGAATCCAATAACTACGTGCTGCTTACTCTACTTTTGAAGAACACATATAGACACGCAAACCATTATAAACTACTTTGAAGTATAGTTTCAGTGCTTTATACTGACAAAACAGAGACAAAATTTCTGGACCAGCCTATACTAGAGAAACCTATATACACCCTAAACTTTAAAAAAATTGACAACACAAGGGCAGACGCAGTGGCTCACACCTGTAGTCGCAGCACTTTGGGAGGCCAAGGTGGGTGGATCACCTGAGCTCAGGAGTTCAAGACCAACATGGCAAAACTCTGTTTCTACTAAAAATACAAAAATTAGCCAGGCGTGGTGGTGCACGTCTGCAGTCCCAACTACTTGGGAGGCTGAGGCATGAGAATTGCTTGAACCCGGAGGCAGAGGTTGCAGTGAGCAGAGATTGCACTACTGCATTCCAGTATGGGCGACAGAGTGAGATTCCATCTCAAAAAAAAAAAAAAAAAAAAAAAAGACAACACAGAACTAAAAGCTGTCACTTAATTCTGTTACTTAAGCTAAAGTCACTCTTGCTGCTGACAAAGTACCAAAGGAGTTCAATGAGATATGGTGGCATCTCAGAATCAAGTACCAGGCCAAACTGAAGCCAAAGCTGCTTAGTAACGTGGAGTTCAGAAACATGGCACATGGTGAAAAAAAGCAATACAAAGGCCGAATTTTAAAAACAAAACCTTCCCACCTTTGATTTTTAGGCCCTGTTGCGAGTTTCTGGTATGTTCTTCAGAGATAGTTCTGCATTTACTGACATATGTGATTAACTACGAGCTCTCTCTATGCCTTTTATAGATACATTTATGTAAGTGGTGATATACTATGACACACGCACACGCACACACACGGTATTTTAAAGATAATCAACATCATTTGTGAAGCACATTTCATGCCAAATACTAAGGATCATCAACAATAAAGCACTCTGTGTTGGGGGGACTGATGGAAAGATCTGGCGGAAGCAGCAAAGGAAAGCAGACGGAAGAAAGACCCTGATGAGGTGCTCAAGTCCATCAGTCATCATCAAGTCCAACAGGCCTGGGAGAGGTCAGCAACAACAGTCTCCCCAGCCAAGCAGGGTCTCAAATGACAAAAAGTTGGGCAAAATAATGTGCAAAGTATATACATGTGCTCCAGTCTGCACGCTGCCCAGAAAGAGCTCCCACCCCAGAGGAATCAATATCAGGAGGGTCATCAACAAATTTGAAGGCCAGAAACAAAGAGTGCTATATATGTATTTACTGTGAAAATTAAGCGGCTCCAATTCCATTTCGATGTGTAGGCTATAGGTGTTACGGCAAGAGCTGCCTGGTACATCTGAAGGCCGCTACGCCCACCTTCAGTGCCAGTTTCCTTATCAGAGGAGCTCGTAGAGCCTCACAGAACACAAAGTAAGATATCTGAGGTGTTTCAGGCTGATCTCACAGTCTGAGTTCTAAATGTATTCTACTGAAATTCAATAAATATTTATTAAGCACATGCTATGGTGTGGCAGGCCCTATTCAAACCACCAGGAATACAGCAGTGAATAAAACAATGCTCCTGTTCCCATGGAACTTAAAACATTTTTCTGAGACTGAGAATCAAATAAGCAGACAGTAGTGGGAAGTACTGTGAAAAAAAGTTGGGTAAGGGAGACAGAGAGCGGCAGGGTGGGGAAGAGTATTGCTATTTTATATAAGATGGTGAATAGAAGACCCTAAGAAAGGTAATATTTGATCAGACTTGAAGGTGCAAGCCACAAAAAAGAGAGGTCCTTTCTTATCTCGCTCAAAGAGGTCCTCTGAGATCACAGGATCTCGCTGTTGCCCAGGCTGCAGTACAGTGGTGTGATCATAGCTCACTGCAGCCTCGACCTCCTGGGCTCAAGCGATCCTTCTACCTCAGCCTCCCAAGTAGCTGGGACCACAGGCGCCTGCCACCACGCCTGGCTAATTTTTTATAGAAACGGGGTCTCCCTATATTGCCCAGACTGGCCTTGAACTCCTAGGTTCAAGGGATCCTCCGGCCTTGGCCTCTTAAAGTGCTGGGATTACAGGCATGAGCTACTGTGCCTGGCCCGAAAGGTCCTTAGAGCGGGTTTCTTGGGTGGTGGCTGGAGCATCAAGGAGTTCCTTCTCTGATCGAAGGGCTTGTTAGCTACACAGTTTGAAGGAAGGAGAACAGGCTTTTCCAGCTCAGCCTGGTGAGAGGAGAGGCCTTTGAGAGTTTATGCAGCTTGCACACCCGCTCCATGCAGTTTCTGGAAAGTTTCCATCACAGATGAGAGTTTTACGTTGAATTTTAAGTTTGACCACAAATATTTAAACTTCCCTGGACCACAAATACAGTATCTTCCCTGTGGTTTATCTGGCAGCAAGTACATATTTACAAATCTCTATATGTCTGCCTGTTATTTAAATTTCTTACAGAAGTGCCAAGGTCTTTAGTTGTGATTTATCCCCTCCCCCTCCGTACTGGTAGGTATAGTCTTCATTAGGCCTAACTCTTGGGAAAAGGAGGTATCTTTACAATTGAAGCTTAGAAATCTTCCTGATTAAATTTCCTATTACCGCTTCCCTCTTAAAAAAAAAAAAGTCGGCCGGGCGCGGTGGCTCACGCCTGTAATCCCAGCACTTTGGGAGGCTGAGGCGGGTGGATCACGAGGTCAGGAGATCGAGACCATCATGGCTAACATGGTGAAACCCCGTCTCTACTAAAAATACAAAAAAAAAATTAGCCAGGCGTCGTGGCGGGCGTCTGGAGTCCCAGCTACTCGGGAGGCTGAGGCAGGAGAATGGCATGAACCCGGGAGGCGGAGGTTGCAGTGAGCCGAGATCGTGCCACTGCACTCCAGCCTGGGTGACTGAGCAAGACTCTGTCTCAAAAAAAATAAAATAAAAAATAAATAAATAAATAAATAAATAAATAAATAAATAAATAAATAAAAGGCAATGGTCTGTTCCAAGTTCTTGCATTTGAATTGAAATGTAAAAATTGAATTTTTTTGGTGCTTTTTTTTTTCCACTAGGGAATTGAGAACAAAACTTAAAGCTAAATAAATCTGCATACTTTAGCTATATTAAAAAGCAAAACAGCAAACAATAAAAGCCAGGTGTAATGAGCTCCAAACTTTTTTTTTTTTTTTTTTTTGAGACAGACTCTCACTCCGCCACCCAGGCTAGAGTGCAGTGGCGCAATCACAGCTCACTGCAACCTCTGCCTCCCAGGCTCAAGCAATCCCCCTGCCTCAGCCTCCTGAGTAGCTGGGACCACAGACATGCGTCACCATGCCTGACTAATTTTTGTATTTTTGGTAGAGATGGGGTTTCACCATGTTAACCAGGCTGGTCTTGACCTCCTGAGCTCAAGTGATCTACTGGCCTCAGCTTCCCAAAGTGCTGGGATTACAGGTGTGAGCCACTGTTCCCAGCCTTTTATTTTCTTTTTTAAGAGACAGAGTCTTGCTCTGTCACCCAGGCTGGAGTGCAGTGGCATGATCAAGGCTTACTGCAGCCTCCATCTCCCAGCCTCCCAGGCTCCAGTGATCCTCCCCGCGACTTCAGCCTCCTGATTAGTGAACAGCTAGCATTGCAGGCGTGTGCCACCATGCCTGGCCAATTTTTTTTTTTATTTTTTGTAGAGATAGGGCCTATTTGCCCAGATTGGACTCGAACTCCTGGGCTCAAGTGATCCACCCGCCTCGGCCTCACAGCGTGCTTGGGTAACAGGCATGAGCCACTATGCTGGGCCTAAGGCCCAATTTCTAAATGAATACTCATTTGCTTACCAATTCCTGAACATTATAACATGCACTAGGGTTACAAAGAATACAGCACACATCCCTGCTCTCCAGCTGGGTCTTGAACAAAGCCGGCTTGGGAAAGGGTGCTGGCTCCACGAGAGCACACAATTCTTAAATGGGTCTCTGGGTTATCAGGACTGCTTTCTCTTACACAGCTGCCAAGTGAGCTATATGGCATTCTTATCAAATGAAAGCAAACAGCTAGATCATCTAAAACCCATGGCCTCAAAACCATCACTCCTACTCCATTCTGGAGATCTTATTATTTTCACCTTTCCTTTCCTGGACCTTTGGGGTATGGTCCCTATTAATATCCAGCCTACAGGGTTGAGACCCAACACAGAAAGACTTAAGGAGCATCTTCATGAAATCACTAAATTATCTCCTCCTGAGTGTCACACGAGAGTGGTGGAACTAGTTATGAAGTAACAAACCCATGCATATAAACCCATGAAAGCACAATCTAAGTCCAATGCCTACCTTTATCAAATGAACAATGACCTTCCAAGTATTTCAATCTGGAAGGCTAGAAACTCATTTCTTAAAAACTAGCATTGAGGCCAGGCACGGTGGCTCACGCCTGTAATCTCAGCAGTTTGGGAGGCCGAGGCAGGCGGATCACCTGAGGTCAGGAGTTCAAGACCAGCCTGGCCAACATGGCGAAACCCCGTCTCTACTAAAAAAATACAAAAATTAGCTGGGCACGGTGGCGCATGCCTGTAATCCCAGCTACTTGGGAGGCTGAGGCAGGAGGATAGCTTGAACCCAGGAGGCAGAGGTTGCAGTGAGCCTAGATTGCGCCATTGCACTCCAGCCTGGGTGACAGAGTGGGACTCCATCCCAAAACAAAACAAAAAATACTCCCCAAAATGAAAACAAAACTAACATTGATTTGTTTAATCAGAATGACATTAAGCATATGCTTCTCTTCTATCCTTCCAGTTTCCCATTGAAATGACTAAAAATAAATAAATAAATAAAAATGAAGAAAGCATCCATCAGTACTAGGCAACCCCATACCAGAAACTTTGGGAAACTGTCTGCAAGTCTAACAGTGGGTGGAACTGGAGTGAGAAAAAGGACAACTGATGTTCAACCCTTTTCAGGCTGAGTAAGAATACAGATGAGACCTTAGCGGCAGTACCACATTAATACCCTTATCTTGGGGCAACTAAGACAAGAACCAAGGTGGGTTGTGATGCAGTTGGAAGGGCACAGGGGCCAGGCGCGGTGGCTCACACCTGTAATCCCAGCACTTTGGGGGGCCAAGGCGGGTGGATCACCTGAGCTCAGGAGTTTGAGACCATCCTGGCCAACATGGTGAAACCCCATCTCTACTAAAAATACAAAAATCAGTTGGGCGTGGTGGCAGGCGCCTGTAATCCCAGCTACTCAGGAGGCTGAGGCACAAGAATCTCTTCAATCCAGGAGGCGGAGGTTGTGGAGTCGAAATCGTGCCACTGCACTCCAGCCTGGGCAAAAATAAAATAAAATAAAATAAAATAAAATAAAATAAAATAAAATAAAAAAATGAAATGAAATGAAATAAAATAAAATAAAATAAAATAAAATAAAATAATTAAAAAAAAAGAAGGGCACAACTGGATCCTACCAGGGTTGATGGGAAACACAGCAGGTATTTGTGGCTGCTAACTGATAGCTGGTGTGGGTGGCCAGATGAGGCAGAAGGAAGACACAGCTGAGGAGGATGGGTTCTAATAAAGGCAAAAAACCCAGAATAACATTAGGTTGAGAAACCTAGTCTACTCTAGCAAACAGAGTGTTTAACACTGGCAGTATAAATCAAATGTTCCTCTTTTCCCTTTGTCTGCACCTGAAAATCTTAAGAGGCCCATCTAAACTCTCAATATGAACAAGTATAGACTGGCCCTAGTAAGGATGAAAAAAAAATCACCTAACATATAAAAAAGTATTGCAGTTCAACAGGATACCAATCTAAGGAATTGGTAAACCTCTTTCTAGAAGAGTCAATGTGAAAACAGGCACAAACTTCGGAAACTTTCAAACTAATATTTAAAAATTTAATAGTAATGGCACAAGCAGAGATAAATAGACCTTTGGGGAAGAAGATACAGTATAGAAATAGACCCAAACATATATAATCATCTGACTTATGACATGGCATCATTGCAGTTCAGTGGGGAAAACTGATCTTTCAATAAAATGAACCACAGACCCAAGTGTGAATGGTAAAATAATATAGTTTCAAGATCAAAATACAGAAGAATATCTTCCTTCCAATATGTTGCACTTGGAATAGGCAAACATTTCTCTTTTTTGCGGGGGAGGTGGGAAGTCAGGTTTTTGCTCTGTCCCCTAGGCTGGAGTACAGTGGCATGATCATAGTTTACTGTAGCCTCGAACTCCCGGGTCCAAGCAATCCTCCTGCTTCAGTAGCTAAGCGTGTACCACCATGCCAGGGTAATTATTTATTTAATTTTAGAGACAGGGTCTTGCTATATTGGCCAGGTTGGTCTTGAACTCATGGATGGAAGCAGTCCTCCCACCCTGGCCCCCCAAAGTGCAAGAATTACAGGTGTGAGTCACTGTGCCTGGCCACATTTCTTAAATAAGACACAAAAAGCACTCACTAACTTTTAATAAAAATATATCTATTTATTATTTCATTTATTTATTTTTGAGACAGGATCTCGCTGTGTTGCCCAGGCTAGAGTGCAGTGGCATGATCTTGGCTCACTGCACCCTCAACTGCCTCGGCCCAAGCAGTCTTCCCACTTCAGCCTCTTGAGTAGTTGGTACATATGGGTATGAGCCACCCTGCCCAGCTATTTTTTATTTTTTATTTTTTTTGTACAGGCAGGGTCTTGCTATGTTGCCCAGGCTGGTACTGAACTCCTGGCCTCAAGGGATCCTCCCGCCTCGGCCTTCCAAAGTGTTGAGATTACAGGCATGAGCCACTGTACCTGACCAAGAAAAAATTATTTTAACTAAGATTTGTGTTCATAAAAAGATACCATTAATACTGAAAAGATGGCTGGGCATGGTGGCTCACGCCTGTAATCCCAGCACTTTGGGAGGCTGAGGTGGGTGGGGTCAGGAGTTTGAGGTCAGGAGTTCCTTGAGGTCAGGAGTTTGAGACCAGCCTGGCCAACATGGTGAAACCCCGTCTCTACTAAAAATACAAAAATTAGCTGGGTGTGGTGGCGGGTACATGTGTAATCCCAGTTACTCAGGAGGCTGAGGCAGGAGAATCACTTGAACCCAGGAGGTAGAGGTTGCAGTGAGCTGAGATTGCGCCACTGCACTCCAGCCTGGGCGGCAGAGCGAGACTCTGCCTCAAAAAAATAAAAACCCTGAAAAGATGAACCACAGACTGCGAGAAGATATTTTCAATACTTCTATCCAACATAGGACTTATATTCAGAATACTGGAAAAAAAAAACACCCTATAAATCAGTAAGAAAAAAGACAAAGAATCCAAGAAAAACATGGGTAAAAATCAGGAACAGGCACTCCCCAGAAGAGGGTATTCAAATGGCCAATAGCAGAAGAAAAGGCACTCAATATCATTACTCATCAGGGAAATGCAAATTAAAATCACAATGAGAACAACAACAAAAAAAGAAAGCAAAACAAAACAAAAATCACAATGAAATACTTCTAGACAGTCACCAGTATGGCTTTTAAATTTTTTTTTTTTTTTGAGACAGGGTCTCTCTCTGTCGCCCAGTGTGTAGTGCAGTAGCGTGAACATGGCTCACTGCAGCCTTGACCTCCTGGGCTCAAGTGATCCTTTCACCTCAGCCTCCCAAGTAGCTGGGACCACAGATATACGTGGTCCTAGCAAGGATGCCTGCTCTCACCATTTCCTTTCAACTCACTAGTGGAGATCTCAGACACTGTATTAAGGCAAGAAAAAAAACGCTGAAAGCATAAAAATGGAAAAGAACTGCCTCTGTTTGCAGATGACATGATTGTTTAACACAAAAAATCCCAAATAATGCGCAAATAACTACTAGATTAAATTCTAATAAAAATGTCTTTAGGATTGAAGGATACATCAATATACAAAAGTCAATTGTATTTTCATATTCTAGCAGCAAAAGACTGGTAAATACAATTTAGAAACAATTCCATTTATAATGGCATAAAAAATAAAATGTATTTAGGAATAAACTTAACAGACAATGTATAAGACCTGTACAGTGAAAAGTATAAAAGACCTAGGTAAAAGGCTAGCTATACTATGTTCATAAACTAGAAAAATGTTGTTAAGATGTCAATTTTCTCAAAACTGATACGTAAATTAAACTTACTCCCATAAGGATTCTAGCGTTTGTCGTAAGAATTTTTAAATAAAACGAACAAAAAGAACAGAAAGCATGACACCCCTGCTTATATGCTCATCTGATATTTGAAAAAAAGTACCAAAGCAATCCAGCAGAGGCAAGAAATGCCTTTTCAATAAATAGTGCTGATATAACTTGATATCCATATGGGGGGAAAAAAGTTTTAGTTCTTATATTACACCATATACAAAATTAATTTGAAGACCAGGCACACTGGCTCATGTCTGTAATTCCAGCACTTTGGGAGGCCAAGGCAGGGGGATCACTTGAGTTCAGGAGTTCAAGAGCAGCCTGGGAAACATAGTGAGACCCCATTTCTATAAAAAATTAAAAAATTAGCCAGGTGTGGTGGTGCTTGCTTATAGTTCCAGCTTCTTGGGAGGTTGAGGTGGGAGGATCACTTGAGCCTGGGAGGTTGAGGCTGCAGTGAGTCATCCCTGCCACTGCATTCTAGCCTAGGTGACAGAGCAAGACCGTCTCAAAAAACAAAACAACAGGAATGGGCGCAGTGGCTCATGCCTGTAATCCCAGCACTTTGGGAGGCTGAGGCAGGCAGATCACTTGAGGTCAGGAGTTAAGAGACCAGCCTGGCCAACATGATGAAACCCCGTCTCTACTAAAAATACAAAAATTAGCCAAGCATAGTGGTGTGCACCTGTAGTCCCAGTTACTCAGGAGGCTGAGGCACGAGAATCACTTGAACCTGGGGAGTAGAGGTAGCAGTGAGCCAAGATCGTGCCACTGCACTCCAGCCTGGGTGTAAGAGTGAGACTCTGTCTCAAAAAAAAATTTATTTCCAATGTCTCATAGACCTAAATATAAAAGCTAAATCTAGATAGCTTTTTTTTTTTTTTTTGTCTTTTTAAATTTTGAGCAACGGTCTTGCTCTGTTGCCCAGGCTGAAGTGCAGTGGTGCAAACATGGCACACTGCAGCCTTGCCGTGCACGGCTGCAAGTAGCTGGGACCACAGGTGTAGGCCACCATGTCTGGCTGATTTTTTAATTTTTTTGTAGTCATGGGGGTCTCACTATGTTGTCCAAGCTGGTCTCGAATTCCTGGACTGAAGGGATTCTCCTGCCTTAGACTGATAAAGTGTTGAGATTATAGGCATGGGCCACTGTGCCTGGCTCAATGTAGCTTTTTTTTTTTTTTTTTGACATAGAATCTCGTTCTGTTGCCCAGGCTGGATGGAGTGCAGAGGTGTGACCTCGACTCACTGCAACCTCCGTCTCCCGGTTCAAGCAATTCTCCTGCCTCAGTCTGCTGAGTAGCTGGGATTACAGGCACCCACCTGGCTAATTTTTTTTTTTTTTTTTGAGACGAAGTCTTGCTCTGTCGCCCAGGCTGGAGTGCAGTGGCACGATCTTGGCTTACTGCAACCTCCGTCTCCCGGGTTCAAGCAATTCTCCTGACTCAGCCTCCCAAATAGCTGGGATTATAGGCATGTGCCACCACGCCCGGCTAATTTTTTGTATTTCTAGTAGAGATGGGGTTTCACTGTGTTAGCCAGGACGGTCTCAATCTCCTGACCTTGTGATCTGCCCGCCTCGGCCTCCCAAAGTGCTGGGATTACAAGCATGAGCCACTGCGCCCGGCCATAATTTTTGTATTTTTAATAGAGACAGGGTTTTACCATATTGGCCAGGCTGGTCTCGAACTCTTGACCTCAAGTGATCCGCCTGCCTCAGCCTTCCATAGTGCTGGGATTATAGGCATTAGTCACCGCACCCAGCCCAGAATTATTTATTATTATTATTTGAGACGGAGTCTTGCTCTGTTGCCCAGGCCAGAGTACAGTGGCACGATCTCGGCTCACTGCAACCTCTGCCTCCTGGGTTCAAGCGATTCTTGTGCCTCAGCCTCCTGAGTAGTTGGGATTACAGGCATGTACCACCATGCCCAGCTAATTTATTTTTTTTTGAGACGGAGTCTTGCTCTGTTGCCCAGGCTGGAGTGCAGTGGCGTGATCTCGGCTCACTGCAAGCTCCGCCTCCCGGGTTCATGCCATTCTCCTGCCTCAGCCTCCCAAGTAGATTGGGCTACAGACGCCCGCTGCCATGCCTGGCTAATTTTTTTGTATTTTTAGTAGAGACCAGGTTTCACTGTGTTAGCCGGCATGGTCTCGATCTCCTGACCTCGCGATCCACCCGCCTCGGCCTCCCAAAGTGCTGATATTACAGGCATGAGCCACTGCACCCGGCCATGTCCAGCTAACGTCTTATATTTTTAGTAGAGAAACGGTTTCACCGTGTTGGTAAGGCTGGTCTTGAACTCCTGGCCTCAAGCGATCCACCCACCTCGGCCTCCCAAAGTGCTGGGATTCCACGCGTGAGCCACCGCGCCCGGCCTCCATACAGCGCTTAGAGGAGAACCGAGTAGAAGATCCTCATCACTTGGGATTTTTAGCCCTCATAAAGTAATAACCATAAAAGAAAAGCAGGATAAATTGATTTCATGAAAATTAAAACCTTTTGCTTATCAAAAGATATTAAGAAAATGAATAGGTAAGACACAGGCTTTGTGAAAATATTCACAAAACATGTATCTGACAAATTACTTACATCCAGAATACATAAGGAACTCAACAAGAAAATAACTCAAGAAAATGGGAGGAAGATGTGAAAAGATCCTTCATAAGGAAGATAGGCAAAAAAGTCAGTAAGCATATGAAAAAGTATACAACTTCAGCTGGGCATGGGGGCTCACGCCTAGCACTTTGGACGAGTGAGGCAGGAGGACTGCTTGAGCCCAGAAGCTGGAGACCAGCATAGACAACATAGCAATACCTTGTCTCTACAAAAAATTGTAATAAAATGAGCCCAATGTGGTGGCACACACCTGTAGTCTCAGCTACTTGAGAGGCTGAGGCAGGAGGATTGCCCGAACCCAGGAGGTCAAGTCTGCAGTGAGCTGTGATTGTGCCACTGCTCTTTGGCTTGGGTGATAGAGCAAGACCCTGTCTGAAAAAACAAAAAGCATACAACTTCATTAGTCATCAGGGAGATACAAATTAAAGCCAAAAATGATATATCACCAGTCACCACACACCTACCAGAAAGAGGATGTGAAGCAATGGGAAGTGTCATAATTGTTGGAGTCTAACAAAATCATCTTTGGAAAAAGCTGTAGGGCAGGGGTATCCTGGGCCACGATGGAAGAAATGCCTTGGGCCACGCGTAAAATATAATAGCACCAACTATAGATGATGAGCTTAAAAAAAAGCGGGGGGCAAAAAAGCTCATAATGTTTTAAGAAAGTTTACGAATTTGTGTTGGGCTGCATTCAAAGCATCCTGGGCTGCGTGCAGCCTGTGGGCCACGGGTTGGACAAGCTTGGTCCAGGGGATCTCTAATAAAAAATGCACATCTAATCTCTGACTCAGCAATTCTAATCCTAGGCATTTACTCAAGTGAAAACACATGTCCAAAAACAGATTTGTGTACAACTATTCACAGCAACTTTATTCATAACAGCTAAAAACTAGAAACAGATTCACTGTCAACCAGATAAACTGTGACATATTCATAAAATGGAATACTACTCAGCAATAAAAAGGAGTGAGCTACTAATATATACTAATATATGTAACAACACAGAGGAATCTCAAAAAGATTAAGCTAAATGAAAAAAGCCTTTCTCAAGAGCATGTACTTATTGTGTGATTCCATTTATATGGGGTTCTAAAATAGGCAAATCTAATCTTGGTGGAAAAAATCAGAACAGAGCTTGCCTCTGGGGACAGAGGTGGAGATAAGGGATTATAATATAATTATATGATTATTTATATATACACACACACACATATATGTATATATGTACATGTCTGTCTGTGTGTGT
Organism: Homo sapiens; assembly: GCF_000001405.40. Lineage (NCBI taxonomy): Eukaryota > Metazoa > Chordata > Mammalia > Primates > Hominidae > Homo > Homo sapiens. Next base: position 2,121,597 of record NC_000017.11, read on the forward strand.
GTGTGTGTGTGTGTGTGTGTGTGTGTGTGTGTGTGTGTGTGTGTGTGTGTAGAGAGAGAGAGAGTATCACCCAGGCTGGAGTACAGTAGCATGATTTTGGGCTCACTACAGCCTTGACCTCCTGGGCTACTAAAGCAGCTCTCCCGAGTAGCTGGGTCAACAGGTGCTAGCCACTACATTTGGCTAATTTTTGTATTTTTTGTGGAGATGGGGTTTCGCCATGTTGCCCAGGCTGGTCTTTTCTTTTCTTTTCTTTTGAGATAGTCTCACTCTGTCGCCCAGGCTGGAGTGCATGGCGCAATCTCAGCTCATTGCAACCTCTGCCCTCCTGGGTTCAAGCAATTCTCATGCTTCAGCTTCCTGAATAGCTGGGATTATAGGTGCCCGTCACCACATCCAGCTCATTTTTGTATTTTTAGTAGAGACGGGGTTTCACCATGTTGGCCAGGATGGTCTCGAACTCCTGGCTGCAAGCAATCTGCCCGCCTTGGCCTCCCAAAGTGCTAGGATTATAGGCATTAAAAAAATTATTTAAAAGAAGAAAAAATGGATGGATGGGTGGATAGATGGGGGAAGAGAGGGAGAGAGAGAAATAAACAGATAACATGATAAGACAAATACAGTAAAATGAGAATCACAGCATGTAGGTACTGGGTATAAGTGAGCTCACTGGAGAATGTTCAACTTTGCTGTATAATAAAATGTTGGAAAATCAATCACATCACTAAAAAAATAAAAAGACAATATCTGGAAGCAGTGGACCTAGTCAGATTAAAAAAAGAAAATCTGCATCAATCCCTGTTGCCGTCACTAAACAGCTGTCTCATTAGCTATTAAGGAAAACACAGTGTCAGAGGGCTGGTTTTGCCATGTAAAAGAAGTCTTCAGCTTGCTGTGTCCTAACACTGGATCGCATATAAATCCCCAAATTCTAAAGGCTAGAAAGGTTTAAAATGTAGATGCAGCTTCAATATCCAGGAGGCAGAACTAAGAACAAGAGATGTAAATCTAGCTCTGGCAGTGGGAAGCGGGGCGGGGGGCAATGGCGAAGCTAAGTTAGAAGCCGCGAGCCACTTAGCCTCTCCAGCTCCAGTAGTTCTGTGTCTGGACGTCGGCCCCATATACTGGCTTAAAACCTCAAGATACTAGAGGATCTCACCAGTGGGAGGTGCCAGAGCAGCTGAAACATGTCCCTGTAAACAATAAATGTTTATCTGGGCAGATAACCTGGCAGACAGCCTTATTCTCATCTTAGGCAACTCGAAACTCCACAACAGGAGACTGAGCACAGAGGGGCCCCTTCCTCTTTGCCACATGGGTAGGAAGCAGAGATGGAGGTGGTCCTGGCTCCTACCACATGAGGGGTGGCAGAAAGCCACTCTCTGTAAATGCCAGCTTCTTCCCTGCTGGATGATGGCCAGATTCCCTTAAACACAGAGGGTGGGGACAGAGAAGTCAAGTGAAGCAACGCTAGACAATGCTGCCGCATAACGCTGGCTGCTCCACCGCAGCCCTGAAGGTATGAGGAAACCCTGGCGTGTTGGCGGCTGCCTCAGGAACCGCGCTGGCTAAGGGCTTCCCCAGGCCTGGGTGGGAGGCTTGTCACTGACTCTGGCCACACACATAGGCTTGGTCGCCACCTCGGTCAGTGGCAAACAGCTGCTGAGAGGGGAGGGGAGGAGTAGACCCAGGGGTGCTGTGTGCTGCACAGCCAAATCTTCCACTTCTGGAGACTCCAAACGATATTCCTAAGAGCCATATGGCTTAAACCCCATGGAGGTACCAGGAAAAAGGCAGTACGACGGAAAGAGGCAGCTGGAAGGAAGGAATGGAAGTGTGTTAACGGCACAGAAACTCCTTTCATTGACAATTAACTGCAAACAATTTTATTACCAGTTCTGAAACCCCAATCCCTAACTGATGAATTAAATCTTGGCAATGGTTATTCCTCCCACCTATACACTTCTGCCCACACTCTTCTTGGAAGGAGAGAGGACAGGGAAGTGAAACCCACAGTATGCCAAAAGGGAAGTCGAGCTCTCATTCATAAGACTACTAAGCTCTCTCCCAGGGAAGAGAATGGAGATGGCACAACAAAGGCTCTTTGCTCTGAAATAGCACCGAAGTGAAGCCCGGCAGAGCCAGGGTGTGGATCTTGGATGGAGTGCAGAGGAGGAGTGTGTTTGTGTATATGTTTGTGCTCATCTGGTTTTTGTTGGGGGAAGGTGACAATTCATTCTTTTGATTTCATTCAAACTTAGAGCTGCTTTTATAATCACTTCCTGAAAACAGAGCAGGAAGAGAGTGCTATCTGCTCACCCCACCCTCCATTTAACACTGCCCCAGCAATCCAACTATGTGCTTTACACTGAGAGGCCAGCTTCTTGCCTTTGGCAGCACTGAAGGCCAGACATTACCAGCACTCCTGTGTACAGCTCAAGGCTCCACCCAAATCAGACTGCACACACTGAATCCAAGAGGAATATCATTCCAGAACAACAACCCAGGAGAGAGAGAGGAGAGCTGAGCAGGCTGGGTGGGACAGTTGGGGCACTTCTAACTTCTGACACCAGGACACCCAAGTGGTTGGCAGAGGCATTTTGGTAGTGCGGTGACAGATCAACTGTAGTGTGGGAAATCCCAAATGCTACAGTAAAGAAGTTATCTCTGTACAAAGAAAGGGGTGACAATAAGGGTGGGGTACAGGCCACAGGGCAGTAAGGTAGAGAAATCAGTTTTAGCGAACTGGCTAACTACTGGGTTAGTCCAATTCTGAATACACAAGTAATATTCTAGCCTCTTTTCAGGAGAGACTGATGTAGAGTAGTCATGGGCAGGCCAGGGAACAAAGTTCCATTTCTGGCCTAAAGTGGATTGGAGGGTTCCTCCGCAGAGAGTCGTAACAGAGTGTTTATATAAAACCCCACAAACCCACTGCTCCTGGCTGTCCAAGGCCAAAGGCATCTTCTTCCTGGAGAGCTGTGTCTCTTACCCTCTAGGCTCTAAGACTCCCTATTTTACTTAGTCAGGTTTCCTGTTTACTCTGAGACCTGTGATCTCCCCGGGGAGTCATTAGAGAGAAGCTGGGGAAGGGGCAGCAGGGAGACGGAACAGTACTAAGGACACAGGTCTTCCGCATCCTACCATTACTTCTTACATGGCAGAAAAACGAATGGACACTGAAAGGGGGTTTCCTGGTTTAATTAATTATTTACAGCGTTTATTCTTTATTTTTTGTTTCTAACGTGCAGGCATCTCTTAGACTGCTGACCCTCAAGGAAAATGCAATTGGGAGCACAACCATGATTGGCACCGAAAGGCATTTTTTGTTGCTGTTCCCATGAGAACCCCATCAGAATGATGAACAAGGTACATACGCTGCTATAAAATAATCAGCATCTCCATTTGGAGAAGGAATTTCTTTTAAAAACACCTCATTTGGGGCACTATGGTCTCTTCTTCTATGGAAATAGGAAGAGGCAGAAGGAGTTCCATTCCTGCCAGAGCAGAGTCTACTTTTTGCTAATTTTTTGGAAAACAAGAGGTTCTCTTTGGCTCTGGAGAAAAACAGACATTTCCAAAGGGAAAATAGAGAAGGAGACAGGGTCTGATGTGGCAAGACTTGTAGCCCTCTCATATCTCCGAGACAGAGATAACCTGGAGGGACCGAAACCCCCTATTTATTCACCCTTCTAACCATGCATTCCATACAATCCAGACATCCTGAGACCAATGATGATTCAGATACTACAAGGCCTCTGAAGACGTCACTACGATCCTACGATTTAGGAAGAAAAGAAAATCTGAGGATAATTCTCTTGGGCTTGCTGGCCAATAGGATGATGATTAGCTACAATATGGCCAAACAAATTTAAATTTCCTAAAATTGAATATAATTAAAAACGGAGTTCCAATAAATGGAAAAACATTCTATGTTCATGAATTGGAAGACTTAATATTGTTAAGCTGACTACAGTAACCAAAGCAATCTACAGATTCAATGCAGTTCCTATCAAAATCCCAATGGCATTTTCCACAGATCCATAAAAACATCTTAAAATTCATATGGAATCTAGCTGGATGCAATGGCTCATGCCAGTAGTCCCAGCACTCTGGGAGGCCAAAGCGGGCAGATTGCTTGAGGTCAGGAGTTGGAGACCAGCCTGGTCAACATGGCAAAACACCGTCTATACTAAAAATACAAAAATCAGCTGGGTGTGGTGGCGCATGCCTGTAATCCCAGGTACTTGGGAGGCTGAGGCACAAGAATCGCTTGAACCTGAGAGGCAGAGGTTGCAGTGAGCTGACATTGTGCCACTGCACTCCAGCCTGGGAGATGGAGTGAGAACCCATCTCAAAAAAAAAAAAAAAAAAATCATATGGAATCTTAAGGGACCCCATACAGCCAAATTAATCGTGAAAAAGAACAAAAGTTAAAGGGCTCATGCTTCTGGATTTCAAAACTTACTGCAAAACTATACTAATCAAAACGGTGTGGTACTGGCATAGAATAGAACAGAAAACCTAGAAGTAAACTCTCACAAATACAGGGTCAACTGACTTTTGACAAGGGTGTCAAGACCAATTCCAATCTTATGGAAGGAATAGTCTTTTCAATAAAAAGAGCTTAAAAAAACCTGGATATTCACATGCAAAAGAATGAAGCTGAACCCTTACCTAAGACCATATACAAAAACAAATTCAAAATGGATCAAAGACCTAAAAAGAGCTAAAACTAGAAAACTCTTAGAAGAAAGCATAAGGGAAAATCTTTATGACACTGGATTTGGCAATGATTTCTTGGATATGACATCAAAAGCATAGGAAACAAAAGAAAAAAATAAGCAGACCAGACACAGTGCCTCATATTTGTAATCCCAGCACTTTGGGAGGCTGAGGCAGGCAGATCACTTGAGGTCAGGAGTTGAGACCAGACTGGCCAACATGGTGAAACCCCATCTCTACTAAAAATACAAAAACTAGCCAGGTGGGCCCCTGTAATCTCAGCTATTTGAAAGGCGGGGCACAAGAATCACTTGAACCCGGGAGGTGGAGGTTGCAGTGAGCCAAGATCAAGCCACTGCACTCTGGCCTGGGCAACAGAGTGAGGCTCAGTTTCAAAAAAAAAAAAAAAAAAGCAAACTGGACTTTATCAAAATTAAACACTTTTGTGCATCAAAGGTGGAAACTCACACCAGTAATCTCAGCACTTTGGGAGGCTATGGTGGGACGATCACTCGAGGCTGAGGAGTTCAAGAGAAGCTTTGACAACATGGGGAGACCCTATTTCTACACACACACGCACACACATGCACACAGACACAAACATACATGCACACATGCGCACACATGCACACACACACATATACGCGTGAACACACGCGTGCATATAATTAGCTGGGTGTGGTGGTACGTGCTTGTGGTCCCAGCTACTTAGGAAGCTGAGGTGGGAGGATCCCTTGGGCTTGGGAGTTCGAGGCTGCAGTGAGCCGTAATGGTGACACTGCACTCCAGCCTGGGCAACACAGAGAGACCTTGTCTCAAAAAAAAAAAAAAAAAAAAAAAGACAAATATTGCATGATTCTACTTATATGAGATACTTACAATAGGGAAATGCATAGAGCTAGAAAGTAGAAGTTGCCAGGGGAAGGGGGAATGAGGAGTTACTGTGTAATGGTTACGGCGTTTGGAATGATGAAGAGTTCTGGAAATGGATAGTAGTGATGGTCGCACAACACTGTGAATGTACTTAATGCCACTGAGTTGTACACTTAAGAAATGGTTGAAATGGTAAATCCTTTTCCCCCCCTCTTTAAATAGACACTTTATTAGATCCACAGGTGATAAAATCCCAGAGCTACTGTTAGGCACGTAAATATAGACCCTGCTAAATATTTAATATTATCAAGCTTGTATGACTCAAGCATGGTTTTGGGGCCAGCATCCTCAGTTTCTATCTTCCTATCTCTCTGGGTGACGGCCCAATCTTGCTGGGCATGCAATGTCACTATTTCTGTTCTCAATTCCAGCAGCTTCCTTTCATTCAACGAATACAATTCTTTTACTCTGCTCTTTTCTAGGTTGAAGTCTAATTTAGTATCTGTTCGGACTTTAATCACTTCATCCATTACTTGTTTTAACTGATGTAGTTTGAGTTTTATTTTCTCACGTTCTGCTCTGAGGGCTGAAAATTCACTCTTCTCCAAAGTAATCATATCGTTTTTCACATTCACAGTCTGAGACATTATTTGCTGAAGAGCGATCTCCTGCTTCATCTTGGTGGCCATATCTTTGTAGACGATGTCCACGTTGGCCTCCAGTACCTGGACCAATGCAGACACAATGATTTCTGCTTGCTGAGTAGCAAACCCATGGTCTTCCAGAAAGCACACTAAGGAACGAGTGTCAAAGGAGAGCTTCCTACTCCCAGAAGAGCTGAAATCTCTCCTGTGCTCCAGCTGCAGGTATCCAGCAGACTCCTGCAGGAAGTGAGTATAGGCACCATGCTGAAGCATGGGTGAAGGGCGCTGGCAGCAGCAGCGATGCCCAGGGCAAGGCCCCACAGGCACATCCACGCGCCGCTTTGTCCAGCCAGTGGGGCGGCATACCCAAGGCACGAGTGCTCCCAGTCCCCAGGCTGCCGGCACGGAGCAGCGGCGGTCAAGTGCAGGGAGGGCACGAAATGGTAAATTTTATGTTGTGTATATTTTACCACAATTAAAAAAAATCATTTCTTCAGGTAGACCAGCCGCATTTCATGTGTTCAACAGCTACATGCGGCCAGTAGTTACCATACTAGACGGTGTCAAGTAGAACACTTTCCCCACTGCAGAAAGTGGTACTGGACAGGATGGCTCTAGAGTTAGATTAAAAACCACCGGATTCTGATGTCAACGGTATTAACCTATACGCCAATCCAACTGCCTTATGCTGTATTCTGTATGCCACTATCCTGCCAATTTGTTATTCTAACAGCCTCTCCAAGCATTGTATACCCACTATTGCAAACTTGAGGTCAGGAGTTCGAGACTAGCTTGACCAACGTGGTGAAACCCCGTCTCTACTAAAAATACAAAAATTAGCTGGGCGTGGTGGCGTGCACCTGTAGGCCCAGCTACTTGGGAGACTGAGACAGGAGAATCACTTGAACCCAGGAGGTGGAGGTTGCACTGAGCCAAGATCGCGCCACGGCACTCTAGCCTGGGTGACAGAGCAAGACTCAAAAAAAAAAAAAAAAAGAGAGAGAGAGAAAGAAAGAAAGAAAGAGGAAGACAAAAAGACAGAAAAAGAAAGAAAGAAAGAAAATGGCATGCAAGCAGCAGAGTAAAAACCTTTAAGAAAATGAAAGAAATATGTTATCTCCCATGAAACAACTATGAGTCAAGAATATGCTCATTTTGAAGTTTGGGAGAGTACACTGGACTATTTTAGGAAGAAAATGATAGTTTTAAATTAGAATTTTATTACTGGGCTGGGTGGGGTGGCTCACACCTGTAATCCCAGCATTTTGGGAAGCCAAGGCAGGCGGATCGCTTGAGCCCAGGATGGCGAAACCCCATCTTTATTAAAAATACAAAAAAGTAGCCAGATATGGTGGCACATGCCCATAGTCTCAGTTACTCAGGAGGGTGAGGTGGGAGGGGCAAGCCCAGGGAGGTCGAGGCTGCAGTGAGCCATAATCGCACCACTGTACTCCAGCCTGGGCAATGGGAATAAGAACCTATTTTAAAAAAATTATTAATGTGTAACCCCATATAAACAGGTTAAAAAGAAAAACTACACTATCATCAACAGATTAAGAAAAAATATTTAATAAAATTCAGCCCTTATTTGTGATTTAAAGAAAATACTCAGCAATCTAGGAATAGAAGCGAATGGTCTTAACATGACAAGATACACTTATCACAAATCTATGGGCCAGGCATGGTTGGTCACACCTGTAATCCCAGCACTTCGCGAGGCTGAGACAGGCAGACCACTTGAGGTCAGGAGTTCGAGACCAGCCTGGCCAACATGGTGAAATCCTGTTTCTACTTAAAATAAAAAAATCAGCCTGGCGTGGTGGTGCGCTCCTGTAACCACAGCTACTCGGCAGGCTGAGACAGGAGAATCGCTTGAACCCAGGAGGTGGAGGTTGCAATGAGCTGAGATCATGCCACTGCACTCCAGCCTGGGTGACAGAGCAAGGCTCTGTCTCAAAAAAAAAAAAAAAAAAAAAAAAAAAAGAAATCCATGACAAATAGATTTAATAATGTAACTTTAGAAGCATTGCTATTAAAGTTAGAAACATAGAATTTCTATTATTATGGTTACCATTATAGAACAAGACAGTTCAGTAAAGTTGATAGATGTAAGATGAAGATAAAGAAACAGCATTTAGGCTGGGGGCGAGGTGGCTCACATCTGTAATCCCAGCACTTTGGGAGGCTGAGGCGAGTGGATCACGAGGTCAGGAGATCAAGACCATCCTGGCTAACATGGTGAAATCCCGTCTCTACTAAAAAATACAAAAAATTAGCTGGGCGTGGTGGCGGGCGCCTGTAGTCCCAGCTACTCGGGAGGCTGAGGCAGGAGAATGGCGTGAACCCGGGAAGCGGAGCTTGCAGTGAGCCGAGATTGCGCCACTGCAGTCCGCAGTCCGGCCTGGGCGACAGAGCGAGACTCCGTCTCAAAAAAAAAAAAAAAAAAGAAACAGCATTTATATTCATACCATTAATAGTTAACTAGAAAATATGATACTTAAATTAGTAACAAAATCTGTGCGAGGGTTTTATGGGAAATATTACAAAACATCCTTGAAGGGCATAAAAGAAGACCTGAATAAATTAACAGTATATCATGTTCATGGATGGGAAGACTAAATATTGTAAATATGGCAATTGCTCACTGGCTCAATGGAACAGAACAGAGGACTAGGAAACAGGGAAACCTGCTTTACAAAATAAATTCCAAATGGAACAAAGACATAAATGTAAAACCAAAATGAAAACCAAATATTCAGAAGAAAAATTTAAAGTAAAACTAAAACTTTTAGAAGAAAAATATGTTGGTATATATTCTTTATGACCTCAGGGTATGTAAGGTTTCCTTTTTTTTCATGTAAAATTGCAATTACTCTTGGTAATATTTTAACCTAACAATCAAGTGGTTTAAAAAAAAAAAAACATCAAATAGGCCAGGCGGGTGGATCACAAGGTCAGGAGTTTGACACCAGCCTGGCCAACATGGTGAAACCCGTCTCTACTAAAAATACAAAAATTAGCTGGGCGTGGTGGCAGGTGCCTGTAATCCCAGCTACTCAGGAGGCTGAGGCAGAGAATTGCTTGAACCCAGGAGGAAGAGGTTGCAGTGAGCCGAGATCACGCCACTGCACTCCAGCCTGGACGACAAGAGCAAGACTCCGTCTTTAAAAAAAGATCAAATGACAAACTCCTGCACAGAGATAAAAGTAACCCTTTTACCCCACCAAATTATAAGCTCTGGCTTATTATTAAAACAATTGATTTTTATATACAATAAAACTTTAAGCATATTTGCTATTAAATGAATGCCAGTGGTCTTGTTTTAATTAAAATTTTATTATGGAAAATCTCAAACATATATAAAAGGAGAGACTAGAGACTAGTGTAATAAATAAACCTGCTATCATCACCTAGCTTCAACATTTAGCAATATATGGCCAATATTGCACACTCAGAAATGATTTTTTTTTTTTTTGAGACGGAGTCTTGCTCTGTCACCCAGGCTAGAGTGCAGTGGTGCAATCTAGGCTCACTGCAACCTCCGCCTCCCGGGTTCAAGCGATTCTCCTGCCTCAGCCTCCTGAGTAGCTAGGACTACAGGTGCCTGGCCACCATGCCCAGCTAACTTTTTTTGTATTTTTAGTAGAGACTGGGTTTCACTATATAGGCCAGGGTGGTCTTGAACTCCTAACCTTGTGATCTGCTCACCTCGGTCTCCCAAAATGCTGGGGGATTCCAGGCATGAGCCCCCATGCCCAGCCAGAAAGGATTTCTTAAATAAGACATAAACTGGAAAGGAAATGGCTGATTTGTCACACAAATTTTTATGCAAAGAAAATGCTGTAAATTAATTTAAAATTAAACTATAAACTGGGTGATCCACAATGCACATAGCTGACAAAGATTCATATTCAGACTTGCAAATCAATAAAAACCAACCAGCTGGGCACGGTGGCACACGCCTGTAATTCTAGTGTAATTCTAGCACTTTAGGAGGCCAAGGCAGGCGGACCACTTGAGGACACGAGTTCAAGACCAGCCTGGCCAACACAGTAAAACCCCGTTTCTACTAAAAATACAAAAATTAGCCAGGTGTGGTGGTGGGCACCTGTAATCCCAGCTACCCGGGAGACTGAGGCAGGCGAATCCCTTCAACACAGGAGGCGGAGGTTGTAGTGAGCCAAGATGGCACCACTGCACTCCAGCATTGGGTGACAGAGCAAGACTCTGTCTCCAAAAAAAGAAAAAAAAAAGGAACTTTTGAACTCGAGCAATCCTCCTGCCTTGGGCTCTCAAAGTGTCGGGATTACAGGCATGAGCCACCACGCCCAGTGAATTTATTTTGCTTATTTATTTCTTTACTTCTTTGCTCTGTATCCCCATAACTGGAATGTAAAATCTATGAGGTAAGAGACTATGCCTGTCTCATTCACCACAAAATCCCTAGCACTGTGAATGTCTGGTAAATAGTAAGTGTTCAATAAATATCTAATGTTGAATGAACGCGAGAAGTCAAGCCTCAGAGCAACTTAACAGCAGATGCGTCACCCTGGCAGAGAAGCCCAGTCTACATGTGGACTGTCAATTCAAGTGCCGGTTCTCACTGAGTTGTCTATGGGGAAGCGGTGTGGGACGATCAGTGGATGGTGCTCTTACCTGCTACAACTCATAAGAGTACCAGAGGGAGTGGGAGTGAAGAGAAAATACAAAATTGTATTTGGAAATCAAATTTCTATTAACAAGATATAGAAACTTTGAGCCTCTGGATTCTCTGCAGACATCTCATTAATTCCCCAGCACAATTTTCTCATGCAAGTTCCTACATGAGGTACAGGAACTAAACTTTCTAAAAACCTAAAGCATGTCAATCTCTTTTCCTAGCCTCAGGTCTGAGAGAGTGACAGAAGAAGAAAGGGGACAGTGAAGAGAAAAACAAGAAGGCACATTAAATATACTGCCTTTTGTTGTTGTTGAGACAGGGTCTCATTTTGTCACTCAGGGTGGTGGGAACATAGCTCACTGCAGCCTCGACCTCCCAGGCTCAAGCAATGTCCCTGCCTCACTCCCCAGGAAGCTGGGACTACAGGCACGTGCTACCATGTCTGGCTAATTTTTGTATATTTTGTAGAGACGGGGATTCACCATGTTGTAATCCCAGCACTTTGGGAGGCCAAGGTGGGTGGATTACTTGAGGCCAGGAGTTTGAGACCAGCCTGGTCAACATGGTGAAACCCTGTCTCTACTAAAAATACAAAAATTAGCTGGACGTGGTGGCGCATGCCTGTAGTCCCAGATACTCGGGAGGCTGAGGCAGGAGAATCACGTGAACCCGGGAGACAGAGGCTGCAGTGAGCGAGATGGCGTCACTGCACTCCAGTGTGGGTGACAGAACGAGACTCCATCTGGGGGGGAAAAAAAAGTTTAAAAACGTAAAATTCTTAGAATAATATCTAAGACAAAGCAAGTCCTCAGTAAACTGTAGCTTTTACTGTAATTATTCATCTGGGAGAGAGAGAACTTATGTTTAATTCTTTGGAAAAAATGGCAGCCTTCATAACAAGTCAGAGACAATATGAAACAGTGGGAAAGCGCTAGACTAAATATCAAAACACCTCCTGGAGCAGAGTTTGCTAGTTACCTCCCAATCCAGTCTTCCCTTCTTTAGCAAAATAACTTTGATTTTTAGCTAAGAGTATGAGTGCATGTGTGTGTTTTAGACACAGGGTCTCAATATGTCACCCAGGGATGGGATACGGTGGCATGATCATGGCTTACTGCAGCCTAGAACTCCTGGGCTCCAGTGATCCTCCTGCTTCAGCCTCTAGAGTAGCTAGGATTACAGGTACGTGCTAACACATGTGGCTAATAGCTGGATACATTTCTGCCAGCCAGGTGACCATATTTTCAGCTTTTTCTGCAGGTAGGATAGCCATGTGACTCTTGAGATGTAAATAGAACTTTTACGTAAAACCTTGAAGAAGTCTCTTTAAATATATGGGGCATACCCTTTCTGTTTTCTTCCTCCATTAAGCTGCCTGCTGATGCTCTACTAACCATCTTGGGATGGGACCACATTGTAGGATGTTGTATACTGAGCTGGAGGTTCCAGTGTCTGCCAACTTGGGGAAGCCAAGTGGTAGAGCCCGAACACTAGCCCTGGACTGCCTATGTCTAGACTCTTGATGTAAGAGGATAAAACTGTATGTTTAGGCCTCTTATTCACCTAAATCTAATACAAAATGATAGTTCTGGGTTCTGACCTAGTATTGTCATATGATCTCAGATAAATCAGTCTAAGTCTTAATCTTCTCAGCTGTAAAATGTGATAATGCCCACTTTGGGAGGCCGATGTGGGTGGATCACAAGGTCAGGAGTTCGAGACCAGCCTGTCCAATACGGTGAAACCCCATCTCTACTAAAAATACAAAAACTAGCTGGGCATGGTGGTGCACGCCTGTAATCCCAGCAATTTGGGAGGCCGAGGCAGGCGAATTGCTTGAACCCAAGAGGCGAAGGTTGCAGTGAGCCGAGATCGTGCCTACAACCTGGGAGCCTGGGCGATAAGAGCGAGACTCCATCTCAAAAAAAAAAAAAAAAAAAAAAAAAAAAAGATAATGCCTCCTAGAACTGTAGTGGAAATCAAATGAAATAATACATCATGATAGCACTACGGAAAATGCTGATGTAAGTTTTATCTATGAAAATGAAACACTGAGATTGGAAAAGCAAGTGTTAACAATGAAGGCATAAAGACAAAATCACTTTTTAAGAAGTCTATGAAAGGAGGCTGTTTATAAGAGTAGACAAATTCCTTATAGAAGGTCATGAAAATTGATCATGTTGGAGATAATATTCTGAATCCTGCTAAATACACTACTAAATTATCTCAGTAGGAATCTTGTAATTTTCCACTCTTTGAAGTCCATGGCTTCTGATGCTGATTCATTCCTAATTAAATGGCTTTAGCTATTCAAATCCTAGTATCTCCCTCTCAATATCCTCCCTGTCATCATCCCAGACCTTTTTTAAAAAGTTTTATTTTAATTTATTTTTTTTTTTGAGACAGAGTCTCACTCTGTCACCCAGGCTGGAGTTCCGTGGCACGAACTCGGCTCATTGCAACTTCTGCCTCCTGGGTTCAAGTGATTCTCCTACCTCAGGCTCCCGACTAGCTGGGATTACAGGCGTGAGCCACCATGCCTGGCTAATTTTTGTATTTTTAGTAGAAATGGAGTTTTGCCATGTTGGCGAGGCTGGTCTCAAATTCCTGACCTCAGGTGATCCACCTGCCTCGGCCTCCCAAAGTGCTGGGATTACAGGCATGAGCCACTGCACCCAGCCTAATAGTTTTATTTTAAATTGACAAATAGTAATTGTATATATTTATGAAGCACAATGTGATGTTTTGATAAATGTATACATGTGGAACAATCAAATTGGACTATGTAACACATTCGTCATCTCATATACTTATTTATTTGTGGTGAGAACATTAAAAATCTATTCTTTAAGCTATTTTGAAATATACATTATTCACTCTAGTCACCATGCTGTACAACAGATCACAAGAACCTACTCCTCTTGTCTAATAAAAACTCTGTATCCTTTGCCCAACGTCTCCTCTTTCCCCGTCCACCCCCACCAACCCCAATCTTAAAAACTGAGTTATACTTAGTGACTTTATCACAAAGCAAAGCTGTCTAAGAGAACCTTATGGCAATAATGGAAATGTTCTATATTATGCTTGACAATACAGTACCCATTAGTCTCATGTGGTTACTGACCACTAGAAATGTGACTAGTGTGACTGAAGAATTGATTTTTCAATTTTACTTAATTTTAATTAACTAAGTTTTGACTGATTGATTGAAACAGTGTTCTCACTCTGTCACCCAGGCTGGAGTGCAGTGGTGCAATCACAGCTCACTATAGCCTTAACCTCTCAGGCTCAAGCAATCTTCCCACCTTAGCCCCTTGAGTAGCTGGGACTACAGGCGCTACCACCATGCCCAGCTAACTTAAATTTTGTGTAGAGATGGAATCTCACTATGTTGTCCAGGCTGGTCTTGAACGCTTGGACTCAATCCTCCCACACTGGCCTCTCAAAGTGCTGGGATTACAGGCATGAGATACCACACCTAGCCTATATATATATTTATGTGTGTGTGTGTGTGTGTGTGTGTGTGTGTGTGTGTGTGTCTGTGTGTGTATATATACAGATATAAATATATACATATTTTTTGAGACAGAGTCTCGCTCTGTCGCCCAGGCTGGAGTGCAGTGGTGTGATCTTGGCTCACTGAAACCTCTGCCCTGGGGTTCAAGCGATTTTCACGTCTCAGTTTCCTGAGTAGCTGGGATTACAGGCATGCACACCATGCCTGGCTAATTTTTGTATTTTTAGCATAGACGGGGTTTCACCATGTTGGCTAGGCTGGTCTCGAACTCCTGACCTCAGCCTCCCAAAGTGCTGGGATTACAGGCATGAGTCACTGCGCCTGGCCAATTAATTTAAGTAGACAAATGTGGCTAGTGACTGTTATCAGTCAACCACACAGTGAGCTCTAAGAAATAGAAGTAAATCATGGCATTTCTTCATTTCTATCTCATCTATCTCATTGATTCTAAATATCTGTGGCAAAATGTTTCCTTTTCGCCTGCTCCTGACACTCCTTGGAAAGTCTCCATTTCCCTATTCAGAATTTGGATTTAATGATCTTTCCAGAGGAATAGACACATATGTTCAACACACACACGCATACGCACACAGAGTCCTAAGTCAAACTCAGGGAAAACTTTACTGAATACACCAAAATAGCTGGATTCATGGAATTCACCAAAAAATGCACCAAAGACGATTCAATCCCTGAAAAGGCCTCACCTTTTTTTCCTTTTTTTTTTTTTAGCTTTTTTGTCTAAAGACACCAGAATTTCAATTATCCTTCTTGGTAAGTCCTTACATAAGTTTAGTATGTTCTTTTTATTAAATAAAACACAAGAAAAAACAGGCATGTTCTGCTCCTGAAAGATCAAATTAAGGTCAGGCATGATGGCTCACGCTTGTAATTTCAGCACTTTGGGAGGCCGAGGCAGGAGAATTGCTTGAGCCAGGAGTTCAAGAACAGGCTGGGCAACATGGTGAGACCTCTTCTTTACAAAAAAATAAAATAAAAAAATTAGCTGGGCATGGTGGCACACGCCTGTAGTCCCAGCTACCTTGGAGGCTGAGGTAGGAGGATCGCTACTTGAACCCAGGAGGTGGAGGTTGCAGTGAGCGCAGATCCCGCCGCTGCACTCCAGCCTGGGTGACAGAGTGAGACCCTGACTCAAAAAAAGGATCCAGCTAAAAGAAATGGTTTGAATGCAGGTTACTAACCACGGAACGCTTCTTGGTACAGGTTACTACTACCACACTAATAGGTAGACAGGAGAAAAGCAACTCTCCAGAAGGGAGTACCAAAAGTGGTGATATACGGAGAAATGTTTTTCCAGCTCAAAAGAAACACACTAGAACAAACACCCTAACCTTGATGACCCCCACAGGCTGCTATTCAGGTGCTCATGTTTTCGATGTGAGCCAAAGTGTCATTCCTTAAAAAACTCCTTGATGTGACTCCAAGAAATGGTGTGACAGTACTCGCTGCAGATTCGCTTACAGGCACGCCAGCAGGACCTTTCACATGCAAATGGGCTTACTCATCACAGCTGTCAGGGTTCTCGGGGAGGAGTTTAAAAGAAAAGGCAACACTTCCCTCTCAGTGAACTGAGGAGTGTGGCTGACCCTGATTAAGTGAGAATGAAGGGATAAAAGACACCTGGAGAATGACCCCAGCAAGCAGAAAGCGCCATGGGACTAGGTCTTGAGAGAACTTGATGGGAATTGAAAGTCTTTGGCTCTATAGATTCTCTGATTCAGTCAGCCCACCTTGATTGGTTTTGGCACATCCCCCACCCGCAAGCTGGCTTAGATATTCATGGACCTTAGTACAGAATCCAAATGTCCTCTGTATCTCCAAGTCAGATCTTCCTTGTCTTTACAGCAGGAGTGCCTGTCAACCATGTCATTCAGCTAGGCCTCACTGGCTCTTCCTCACACAGCCCTCATAAGACATGAGCACCACACTAGACACTTGGGGATGGCGGTTGGAGAGTAGTATCACGGAGCTCACAATCGAATTGTCCAGTGTGTAGTCTTAAAGGCAGATGCAGACAGAAAGAGCTGAGCGATGGCCCAGAACTGTGTCCACACCTGGAAAATGCCTTTGGTGTTGTTATATCACAACATGGAAATACAGTTATTTAGTAGGAGGCAGGAAAAAAAAAACACCCTGGAATTTCAGAAAGAAGAAAAAAAATATACGGTAAAGGTAGGCAGTGGCTGGGATTAGTGAAAATGACAGTGAAAGCTTTAGATTTTTTCAAATGTAAAGGTTAGGGAAATGAGAACTGGATACTCAAACACTCCAAGATAAAGAAGCCTGTCCCCCATCTACAGGAAGTTTATCCCTGACATCTAAATAGTCATGTTTTAAAATCAACAAGTTTGCTGGTTCTCAGCTGCCACTAACCAGAACCCCCAGTGGCTGTGGCCTACAGTGTAGACAGACTGTGCCCAGCCAGACTAAATGAAGACATATAACCGGAAGTCAGCCACCAGCCTGACCCCTCCCAGTTTCAGGAGGAGACTGAGCAAAACACTATCCAGCTACAGGAGTAGTAGACCAGATGCTTTAACCCTAGCAGCATGGGGTACAAAGGACCCCACATATGAATCAGCAGATTCAGAGAGTAAGTGGTCTATGACCCAAGGAAACTCTAAGAATAAGAATGGAAACTTACCAGCAAGGTCAGCAGGACTTTTGGTTTCCCCCACCTCTCTCCCTCCCTGTCCACTGCAGTTACATATTCATGTCCACAGTCACATATTTTTAAAATTTGATATAATTATCTCCTAGAAATTACTGTATGTAGCCTCTTGGGATCTAAAGCAATTAAGTGAAGATAAATGTATTTCATAGAGCAAGCTGTCAAAGGATAAAGCAATTTCATTCCCCATTTGAAGTGGAGGCTTGGGTCATGCATGGTTTATTTGAAACAAAGCCATCACCTAAAGCTGCTGATCTTATCTCTAACTCTGTTCTCCATTCCAAACTGCTGGAGATGTGTAGCGTGGCACTGCCTGAAGTTATGACATCTGGCTCAAGGCCAGCAGAACAAGCCAGCTCCTCTTCTAGGTTTCAAGCATAAGAGGACGAAAGTCATATTAAAAGACAGTAACTATACAGGTGAAGTCTGTTAAACCCTAAAAAAGGGAGATGTTTCCAGGGTATTGGGAGTGACTACAGAGGCATCTAACAATGGGGAAGTTGTGCAAGAAAAGGCAGAAGAAACAGCCCCCAAATGGGGTAGGTAAAATAAATGCCAAGGAACCAGATTTTTCTCTTCTGGGAGACACCAAACCAAACAGTGAGGCCTATTTCACCAAACAGCCTAAGAGATGGAAAGCACGCCAGACTGACAATCAAGAGCTCAGGGTTCTAGTACTATAAGACCGTGTGAAACTTATGGAAAAGTGCCTGCTTTTTTCTTTTTTTTTTTTTTGAGATGGAGTCTCACTCTGTCACCCAGGCTGGAGTGCAGTGGCGCGATCTCAGCTCACTGCACCCTTGGCCTCCCGGCATCAAGCGATTCTCCAGCCTCAACTTCCCAAGGAGCTGGGATCACAGGCGTGCGCCACCATGCCTGGCTAATTTTGTATTTTTAGTAGAGACGGGGTTTCGCCATGTTGGCCAGGCTGGTCTTGAACTCCTGACCGCAAGTGATCTGTCTGCCTTGGTTCCCAAAGTGCTGGGACTACAGGTGTGAGCCACTGTGCCAAGACATTTAACAAACAAATTTTTTTTTTGAGATGGAGTTTCGCTCTGTCACCCAGGCTGGAGTGCAGTGGTGTGATCTTGGCTCACTGTCACCTCTACCTCCTGAGTTTGAGCGATTCTCCTGCCTCAGCCTCCCAAGTAGCTGGGATTACAGGCGCATGCCACCATACCCGGCTAATTTTTGTATTTTTAGTAGAGATGGGATTTCACCATGTTGCCCAGGCTGCTCTCGAATTCCTGAGCTCATGTGATCCTCCCACCTCAGCCTCCCAAAGTGCTGGGATTACAGGCGTGAGCCACCACGCCCAGCTGGGAAACTGCCTGTTAACTAATTTTTTTTAAACTGTTAAGGGGCACTTTATTTTTGAGACAGGGTCTCACTCTGTCACCCATGCTGGAGTGCAGTAGTGAGACCTCGGCTCACTGCAACCTCCGCCTCCCAGGCTCCAGTGATCCTCCCACCTCAAACTCCCAAGTAGCTGGGACCACAGGCATGTGCAACCATGCCCAACTAGTTTTTGTACTTTTAGTAGAGATGGGGTTTTGCCATGCTGCCTAAGCTGGTCTCCTGATATCAAGTGATCTGCATGCCTCAGCCTCCCAAAGTGCTGGGGTTACAGGCGTAAGCCACTGCACCTGGCCTGACACTTTATTTTTTTAAATTCTTCATATCCAGGCCGGGTACGATGGCTCACACCTGTAATCCCAATACTTTGGGAGGCCAAGGTGGGTGGATCCTGAGGTCAGGAGATCAAGACCATCCTGGCTAGCATGGTGAAATCCTGTCTCTACTAAAAATGCAAAAAAATCAGCCGGGTGTGGTAGCACGCACCTGTTGTCCCAGCTACTTGGGAGGCTGAGGCAGGAGAATCGCTTGAACCTGGGAGGCGGAGGTTGCAGTGAGCCGAGATTGCACCACTGCACTCCAGCCTGGGTGACAGAGTGAGATTCCATCTCAAAAAAAAAAAAAAAAATTCTTCATATCCACATTGTATTCATTTTTATAACATGCAGTCAATGCAATATTTAGAAAGTAGTATTCAATTAAAAAAAAAAGCCATTGAAGCTGTCTTTAGGTGAAATCCATGCATGTCAGACCTTGTCTGAGCACTGCTTTTTACAGAAGCCTTGACAAACTGGAATTGCCTTTCAAGTATTAGTGCATTGGAATCACCTGGAGAGCTTGTTAAATGAGCCTGCTGGGCTCCACCCTCAACTGTTTATGATTCAAAAGGCTGAGGTAGGGCCTAAAACATTACAAGTTCCCAGGTGAATCTGATGCTGCTGGTAATGGCACAGAGAAATCTGGCCAGGAGAATGATCTAGAATTGCAGTGTTTAATACAGTAGCCACTAGCCACATGTGGATATTTCAATTTAACTACATTAAGATTTGTTTTTCGGTTGCACTAGCCACATTTCAAGTATTCAAAAGTCACATGTGGCCAGTGGCTACCATAGAGGATGGTGTGGAAATAGTAACTTTCCATCATTACAGTACTAAACACTGCATCATTACATAAAGTCCTATAATATTTCGCAGCACTGGCCAAGAATCTATTTGATTGCACTGGTTTGTTTAGCTTAGAGAAAAGAAAACGTAAAGAGAATTTCAAGTATAACTAAGGTGTGTCAGATATAGAAAAAACAGACTTTGTGATTTTGAGAAAACTTTTAAAAAATCATTAAGTGGGAATTACAGGAAGGCAGGCTGTGTTCAGTTTGAGAAGGAACTTTTTTTTCTTAGAGATGCGGTCTTGCTCTGTCACCCAGGCTGGAGTGCAGTGGCACAATCACAGCTCACTGTAACCTTGAAATCCTGGGCTCAAGTGATCCTCCTGCCTCAGCCACTTGAATGGCTAGGACCACAGGTGTGCACACCATACCCGCTAATTTTTAAAAAATTTTTTTGCAGAGGCAGGGTCTTGCTATGTTGCATGGCTGGTCTTGAACTCCTGGGCTCAAGTGCTCCTCCTACCTTGGCCTCCCAAAGTGCTGAGATGACAGGCACAAGCCACCTCACTCAGCCTGAGGAGGAACTTTTTATAGTGACTGTCTCATAATAGAGTAAATTCTGGGGAAGCATCTGGAGCAGAGGCCATTGAGAAAACTGGAGGACTATTTTTTCATTAGATAAGAGACTGGCCCTGATGTCTTCTAAGGAAGCTTTTAACTCCATGGTTCCTTTGTAATCAATCTGATCCAATTTTATAGTTACAATCACTGTTTACCATTTCTTTGGAATCTAGGATACTTTTCTGAAGTGTGTACTTCAGGTAGAAGAAACTTCGTTTAGTGAGGATATTTGGTGATAAACTCTGTTTTGTTTTTGTTTTTGGCGGGAGGACAGGATCTCACTATGGCTGGACTCCAATGCCTGGGCTCCAGTGATCCTCCTGTCTTAGCCTCCCAAGTGGCTGGGAATACAGGCGCACACCAGCTTCTCCCAGTCCTTATTGTTTAAAAATGTCTTTATAACACCAAAGCACAAGTAACAAAATAAAATAAACCAGATTAATTGGACTTCGTAAAAATTAAAACATTCAAGAAAGTGCAAGGACAATCAAATCATAGGGAGAAAATATTTGTAAATCATTTATCTGATAAAGGACTTGTATCCAGAATCTATAAAGAACTCCTGCAACTCAAGGCTGGGTGTGGTGACTCATGCCTGTAATCCCAGCACTTTGGGAGGCCAAGGCAGGAGGATCGCTGGAGCCCAGGAGTTCAAAACCAGCCTGGGCAACACAGTGAGACCCTCTCTGTCTGTCTGTCTATCTATCTATGAACTCCTACAACTCAATGTAATCTTTCTATCTATCTATCTATCTATGAACTCCTACAACTCAACAATAAAAGACAACCCAATTTTAAAAGTAGGCAAATATGGCCGGGCACAGTGGCTCACGCCTGTAATCCCAGCACTTTGGGAGGCTGAGGTGGGCGGATCACCTGAGGCCAGGAGTTCGAGACCAGCCTGACCAACATGGAGAAACCCCGTCTCTACTAAAAATAAAAAAAAAAATTAGCCAGGCGTGGTGGCGCATGCCTGTAACCCCAGCTACTCGGGAGGCTGAGGCGGGAGAATTGGTTGAACCTGGGAGGCGGAGGTTGCGGTGAGCCAAGATTGCGCCATTGCACTCCAGCCTGGGCAACAAGAGCAAAACACTGTCTCAAAAAAAAAAAAAAAAAAAAAAAAGTAGGCAAATATTTGAACAGTATTCCAAAGAAATACCAACAGCCACTGAACACATGAAAAGCTGTTCAACATCATTAGTTATTGAGAAATGCAAGTGAAAATCACAACTGAGATACCACTTCACACACACTAGGATGGCTATAATAAAAAAAATAATAAGTGTTAGTGAAGATGTGGGGAAATTGAACCCTCATACATTTGCTGCTAGTGAGAATGTAAAATGTTGCAGCTGCTTTGGAAAACTGTCTAGTGTGGAAGTTCCTCCAAGAGTTAAACACAGTTTACCATATGACCAAACAATACTACTTCTAGGTATATATATCTAAGAGAAATGAAAACATATGTCCACATAAAAACTCATACACAAATGTTCATATCAACATTATTCATAATAGCCAAAAAATGCAAACAACCTAAATGTTTATGAAACTGATGAATGGATAAACAAATGTGGAATTACCATATAATGGAATATGATTCAGGCATAAAAAGGAATGAAGTACTGATATGAGCTGTGACATGGATGAACCTTAAAACATTAAGCAAACCAGAAGACACCAGATACAAAAGGCCATAATTATATGATCCCATTCATATGAAAGAAGCAGAAGAGGCAAATCTAGAGAGACTGAAAGTAAACTAGTGGTTGACAGGGGCTAGGAAGAAGGGAAAATGGAGATGACGCGATAGGTAGAGGGTTTCTTTATGAGGTAATGAAAATGTTCTGAAATTAGTGGTGATTGTTGTATTGCTCTATGAATATAATGAAACAACGGAATTGTGTACTTTAAAAGGTTGAACTTCATGGAATGTGAATCATATCTCAATAAATTGATTAAAATTTAAAAAGGGTATTAAAACATCTTCACTCTTATTTTGTAGTTAGGAAATAATAAATTGTATCTTTTTAAGCTAAAGGGGTTAAAAGTATTCTTTTAGATTTTTTTCTCCACAACTGTACTGGGGTATAACTGAAGTGTACTAAAACTGCACATATTTAAAGTGTACAATTTGATCAGTTTTGGCTGCAAGTGGCAGGATCATGGCTCACTGAAGGCTGAAACTCCTGGACTTAAGGGATCCTCCCCACTTAGCCTCCCAAGTACTGGGACTATAAGTGCATGCCACCACGGCCGCTTTTTTTTTTTTTTTTTTTTTTTTTTGAGATGCAGTTTCACTCTTGTTGCCCAGGCTGGAGTGCAATGGTGCGATCTCGGCTCACTGCAATGTCCGCCTCCCGGGTTCAAGTGATTCTCCTGCCTCAGGCTCCAGAGTAGCTGGGATTACAGGTGCCTGCCATCACGCCCAGCTAATTTTTATATTTTCAGTAGAGACGGGGTTTCGCCTTGTTGACCTCGAGACCAGGCTGGTCTCAAACTCCTGACTTCAGGTGATCTGCCCGCCTCGGCCTCCCAACATGCTGCGGTTACAGGCGTGAGCCATGGCGCCTGGCCATTAATTTTTAAATCTTTTTGTAGAGATGGGTTTCTCATCATGTTTCCCGGGCGGGTCTGGAACTCCAGAGCTCAAGTGATCCTCCTGCCTTGACTTCCCTAAGTAGTGGGTTTACAGGCATGACCCACCATGCCTGGTCACCTTTGTTTATCCTTTACAAGGTAGCTTTTTTGGGAATGATAATTATTTACTTTAAGTATATTAAAGGCTGTGGGCTGATTTCCATGGAACTGTATCCACGGGAATTCTTTGTGGCCTGAGTAGAAGCTGCTTTTTTCCAGAGAGGACTTGTCTTTGCTTCTGCGGGTTACCCTGGGACACTGTCAGACACAGAGATCACTTTAAATTAAACCATCTGCTGCTCAAGGTTTTTCAGAGTACATAGGTAGTATGAATTCAGACTCAAAACTCAGGTGAGGGTTAGCTCATGGTCGTAAAATGCTCACCATGAGGTTTCCTAAAGCTGGAATCCCAGCTTTAGGCAGGGCCTCCTACATCATTCCTCACCTAGGGCGCACCCCACGCTTTCAGGCCCGCTCACCATAGTCCAAGCAGTTTTTAGTGAGTAAGCCCAAAGCTTCCAGGGCTTGACAGAAATCATCAGGGCAAGCACCAGCCAGCTTTGGCACTCGCTTACTTTTCAGAAATCTTTTGTTCATTTAGTTCTTAAGATCTGCAGATTTCTCGTTTTCATGCCAGCTCAGGATGCGTTATATTATAGTTAGCATTTTATGTTATTTATTTATATTTTTATTTTTTTGGAGACAGTCTCTCTCTGTCGCTCTGTTGCCCAGGCTGATCAGTGGGGTGAAATCGGTTCACTGCAACATCTACCTCCTGGGTTCAAGCGATTCTCATGCTTCAGCCTTCTGAGTAGCTGGGACTACAGGCGTGTGCCACCACACCCAGCTAATTTTTTTTTTTTTTTTGTCCTCTTAGTAAAGACAGGGTTTCCCCCAGGCTGGTCTTCAACTCCTGAGCTCAGGCAATCCACCTGCCTCAGCCTCCCAAAGTGCTGGGATTACAGGCGTGAGCCACTGTGCCCAGCCTACAGGGAGCACTTTAGCTGTGTTAATTGAGAAGGTTGTTCAGTGTATCTAATCCTACCATACAACTAAAAATGGAAGACCCTATTAAGCTCCTTGAGTTCTAAAAACCTCATGTAGGGTGGGCGCAGTGGCTCACACCTGTAATCCCAAAACTTTGGGAGGCCGAAATGGCCGAGATCGCGCCACTGCACTCCAGCCTTGGTGACAGAGCAAGGCTCCATCTCCCCAAAAAAAAAAAAAAAAAAAAAAAGCATATAGCTTACCTTTGCATCAGAAGCCACAGAGAGGATGCTGATGTACCTCCAGAAATAAAAACAAAAAAGAAAAAACAAAAAACAAGAAGCCACAGAGAGGAAAATCCATTCTTATTCATCCATTCTGAACTCAATTAGGTGACTGTTGGTAACTGGAATAGTTTCTGGAAAGCACAATCCACCCTGAAGTTTGGGTCAATGTAGATTCTACCTGTCTGCAACTGTTCCTGAGTAGATGAATGATGCTCTATCTAAATCTCAATATATATTCCATGTCTTTCAGTTATTCAGATTAGCATCTGAATAACTAAAAATATTTAAAATAAGTAAAATCTTAAGGGACTCCTTTCCTAAATATTTCTCTTTGTTGAAACAAAGAAACAACAGGAGAAAAAGGGCCTAGAAGATATGATTAAATGAACTAAAATAATATATGTGGGAGGTTATAATTCTCAAAAAACAATAGTAATGCAAAAATATGCTTAAGTAAAACCTAGTGAAGCATGTGGAAGCATGAACTCTGGTGTCTGGCACATGCTAAGTGGTAAATATTTGTTAGATTACATAACATGCTTACTTTAGATGGGCAGGTGATGGGGCCAATGCATCCACATCCCTAAACAATGCTGAGCAGACTTTGTGACCATTTTCAGGGAAAAACCAAGTCAGAGACTTGACCCTTGCCCTAGTTCAGAGGAGGCAACCCCATACTGGGAGATGAACAGATATGAGTAAGTAGGTCACCTGTGCTCTGTTCCCCTTACCTACCAAAGAAACATACAGCCTTTGGTCTAAGACAAAAAGACTAAATTTGTTTTGCCTTCAGGTTTAGCAAAGAATTTCAGTAACAGTGAATTTGATGGCTCAAGATGATAATGTCTTTTCTTTTTTTGAGACTAAGACTCTGCCACTCAGGCTACAGTGCGGTGGCGTGATCTCAGCTCACTGCAACCTCCACCTCCCATGTTCAAGTGATTCTCGAACTCTTAAGCTCAAGTGATCTGCCCACTTCAGCCTCCCAGGTAGCTAGGACTACAGGCGCATGCTGCCACGCCCGGCTAAGTTTTGTATTTTTAGTAGAAATTGGGTTTCACCATGTTGACCAGGCTAGTCTTCAATTCCTGGCCTGAAGTGAGCCACTCACCTCAGCCTCCCAAAAAGCTGGGATTACACGTGTGAGCCACCACGCATGGCCTAAATTGTATTTTTATAAAATCTTTACAAAGTGCTTTCATAGAGCTGATCTCCTTTAATTCTCACAACAGCTCTTTGAGCTGGGTAGGGCAGTTAGGGGTTTCCTTATTTTATTGAAGAAGATACAGAAGCCCAGAGAGGTTACAGGGATATTTCACTTTTGCTTCAAAAAGAAAGAAAATCCAAAAGAAGGTATATATGAGATAGAGTTTTTGTTCGTTTGGTTTAGAAAGCTATAGGTTATAGGGGCCAGAATGGTGGCTCACACCTGTAATCCCAGAACTTTGGGAGGCCGAGGTGGGTGGATCATTTGAGGTCAGGAGTTTGAGACCAGCCTGGCCAACATGGTGAAACCCTGTCTCTACTAAAAATACAAAAATTAGCTGAGCGTGGTGGTGGGTGACTGTAATCCCAGCTACTTGGGAGGCTGAGGCAGGAGAATCACTTGAACCTGGGAGGCAGAGGTTGCAGTGAGCCAGGATTGCACCACTGCACTCCAGCCTGGGTGACAGAGCAAGACTACATCTCAAAAAAACAGCTATAGGTTATAGGCCACACAAGTAGCTTATAGCAAGTTAGGATCAGAGCCTAGGTGGGCGTAGTGGTGCACACGAGTAGTCTCAGCTACTGGGAAGGCTGAGGCAGGAGAATCACTTGAGCTCAGGAGTTCAAGTCCCGCCTGGGCAACATAATGAGACCTTACTTCTTAAAAAAAAATGATCAGAGCCAACATCTGACACCTTAATGCTCAAGCATTCCAAGGCCAATCAACTGAGAAAGGAGAAATTATACATTTAAAATGAACACAACAAATAAGCACACAAAAAGATGTTCGACATCACTTGTCATTAGGAAAATGCAAAATCAAAACCACAGTGCAATACTGCTTCACACCAATACACCGACTAGGATGGCTGTTACTAAAAAACAAAAGTATTGTGAGAATGTGAAGAAACTGGAACTCCTGTGCACTATTGGTGAGGATGTAAAATAGTACAGCCGCTGTGGAAAATGTATGACGATTCTTCAAAAAATTAAACACAGATGACCGGGCACGGTGCCTCACGCCTTAAATCCCAGTGCTTTGGGCCGAGGTGGGTGGATCGCTTGAGCTCAGGAGTTCGACACCAGCCTGGGCAACATGGTGAAACCCCATCTCTACCAAAAACACAAAAACTTAGCTGGGTGTGGTGGTGCGCACCTGTGGTCCCAGCTACTGGGGAGGCTGAGGTGGGACGATCGTTTGAGCCCAGGAGGTGCAGGTTGCAGTGAGCTGAGAGTGTGCCACTGCACTCCAGCCTGGGCGACAGAGTGAGACCCCATCTCAAAAAATAAAATAAAATAAAATAAAATAATTAAACATAGAGCAACCATAGGATTCAGCAATTCTACTTTCTACTTCTGGGTATACACCCAAAAGAATTGAAAGCAGGATCTCAAAGAGATATTTGTACATTTACGTTCACAACAGCCAAAAAGTGGAAGCAACCCAAGTGTCCATCAACAGGTGAATGGACACACAAATTGTGGTAGATGTATGCATACAACAGAATATTATTCAGCATTAAAAAGAAATGAACTTTTGCCACGTGCTACGGCACGGATAAAACGTGAAATCATTATGCTGAGTGAAATAAGCCAATCACAAAAGGACAAATATTTTATGATTCCACTTATATGAGGTTCACAGAGTAGTCAAATTTATAGAGAAAAGCTGGGCACCATGGCTCATACTTGTAATCCCAACACTTTGAGAGGCCAAGGCGGGCGGATCACTTGAGGCCAGGAGCTCAAGACCAACCTGGACAACATGCCAAGACTCCGTCTCTACTAAAAATACAAAAATTAGCCAGGTGTGGTGGCAGGCACCTGTAATCCCAACTACTTAGAAGGCTGAGGCAGGAGAATTGCCTGAACCCAGAAAACTGAGGTTGCAGTGAGCTGAGATGGCACCACTGCTCTCCAACCTGGGAGGCAGAGTAAGACTCTGTCTCAAAAAAAAAAAAAATTCAGAGAGAAAGTAAATAGAATGATGGTTGTCAGGGGCTGTGGGGAGGGAGGAATGGAGACTTATTATTTCATGGGTACAGTGTTTGAGTTGGTGAAGATGAAAAAGCTCTAGAGATGGTTGTGGTGATGGCTACACAACAGTTTGAATGTACTTAATGCTGTAGAACCGTACATTTAAAAAACTGGTTAAAATGGCTGGGCAAAGTGGGTCACGCCTATAATCCCAGCACTTTGGGAGGCCGGGGAGAGTGGATCACTTGAGGTCAGGAGTTCGAGACCAGCCTGGCCAACATGGCGAAACCCTGTCTCTACAAAAAATACAAAAATTAGCCGGGCGTGGTGGCACATGCCTGTAATCCCAGCTACTCGGGAGGCTGAAGCAGGAGAATCACTTGAACCCAGGAGGCAGAGGCTGCAGTGAGCCGAGATCACACCACTACACTCTACCCTGGGTGACAGAGCGAGATTCCCCCTCAAAAAAAAAAAAAAAAAAAAAAAAAGGGTTAAAATGGTAAATTTTATCTTATGTATATTTCATCACAATTAAAAAAATAGAATGAACATTACTTAAAGAATAAGACTAATCTCTCTTCCTAACTCCTCACCCTCTTGCCTCTTCTGGTAGTTGACATTTTGCAGCTTCTGGTATTGACAACACAAGGAAGAACAGGTGAAAGCTACCAGTGAACGAAGGGCTGTCCCGTGACCCCCATACACCTGGAGCAAAAAGCAATCTAGGCAGGGCTTGTAGGCACTCCTTGACATCGTGGTCTGACTGGCAAGGCCAAATATTGTCCTCAGCTCTGTCTGTGTGAGATATGGAGGTGAAGAAAGAAATAACAAAGGACTGCTTCAGTTGTCTTTTTATGGGTTGGGCCCTCCAAGAAACAGAGCTGGCTCTTAGTCCTAAGAGGCTAAAACTTGCCTTCTATCAAAATGTAAGTCAGTGGCAAAGCACCAATTCCAACATTTCAGTTCTAAGTCCACAGGACTTTAATGTTTCCACCGGGAGGGTCCTGCTCATGTTTTGTAATCCTAAAAGGCAGAACTGCCTGTTCATTCATGTTCAGTTTAGCAGGAGGGCTAGAAAGGAGACAGGTTAGATTCTGGCAGAGTGCCTTCTTCCCCCAACTGCATCCAGTCTAGAGCAGGGGTCCCAGCCCCCGGGGTTGTGGACCGTGGTACCAGTCCATGGCTTGTTAGGAACTGGGCCGCACAGCAGGAAGAGAGCGGTCAAAGCAAGCAAGACCGCCTGAGCTCCGCCTCCTGTCAAGTCAGCAGCAGCATTAGATTCTCACAGGAGTGGAGCGCGAACCCTATTGTGAACCACACGTGCAAGGAATCTAGCCTGCGTGCTCCTTCTGAGAACCTAACTAATGCTGGATGATGGCAAGTGGAACAGTTTCATCCTGAAACCACCCACTGCTAACCCTGTCTGTGGAAAAACTGTCTCCCACAAAACCAGTTCCTGGTGCCAAAAAGGTTGGGGACCACCGGTCTAGAGTATCAAGGGCCCAATACCAATGTGTTGAACAGATGCTGTTGGCACTGTCTACTGTGTTCATCAACATCCCCAAAGGACACAGCTATGCCCCATGTCATCAGGGGTAGCTCGCCTCTAGGTGGTTATGTCTTCCTGGCCCTCGATGCTATGGAAGTGATCCCCAAAGGACACAGCTATGCCCCATGTCATCAGGGGTAGCTCACCTCTAGGTGGTTATGTCTCCTGGCCCTCGATGCTATGGAAGTGACCAGGTTCAACTCTGATGGCCATCTTGAGATGTTCTTCCTATTACACTTTATATTGCTGTTCCCAGAAGTCAGGCAAAGGCAAATCACAAAAGATCTCTGCCTATACAAAGTATGACTCTAAGGTAATAAGATATGTTTTTAAAAATCACAAATGAGTATTGGTCTAATTAGGATACTTGACAGTGACATCTTACACCGAGGCTGTGAAATACCCTTTCCCCCAACTCTCAAACCCAGATCTCACTTGAGTGTGAAGGATTAAAAAAAAAAAAAATCCGTAACCCAGCTGTGACACTTCCTTCCACCTCTACCTGTACATCTGTTTCCTATGGCGTGCTGCCGCCTCAAGTAAGATGGGTGAGGCTTCTGTAGATGCTGGGGAACAAGATGGAACAAAAATGCTTCACACCTGGCTCCCAAATTACAGGAACGCTGGACCGAGGCCAACATAAGCTGGCACAGCACCAGCTGAAATGGACATCAATTAAGGAGCTTGTCATCTTTCAAGACTACAGGGTCTTTTTTCACTCCACAGTCTGCACTGCTCCACAAACCAGCCATAGCACCACTAGCAGGGTTTTCCAGATGGGATCATTTCCCTTAGATTCCACATTTGCAGATTTATTGCAGAACTTTTTAACCCATCCCTCCATTTTTAAAGCCTGAAATATTATTCCACATTACAGTTTTATATTCAATTGATTTGTCTATAGCAAAATCTGTACTTTCATGAGCAGAAAAAGAAAGTTTTAAGCCTGCCTACAAGTTGCTGTTTGCTTACAAAAAGACATGCAAATAACTGAGATTCACGAAGGCTCAGAAATTCTTCTCTGAACACATTGCTCCAACTGGGATCAGAAGTCAGAGAGCCTTCACCAGGCTCCACTGTCCTGGAGAAATGGTCAGATCTCCAGCACTAAGGCAGGCCTCCTCTGACCATCACATGCAGTGTTAGTGATCCATGTCACATGCACAAAGAAAAAGAAACTCTACTAATGTCTAGTCAGTGGCAAATGCTGCTTAAGAAAAACATCTTAACACGGATCAGCAATTAAAAAGTGACAAGATTCCACATAGTATCTTCTCTTGACTTTTATCCAATGGGGCAGGACATTTTCCCTACACCTATGCGGCTGCCCAGTGGAAAGAATTCCACACAACATGAAAGAGACCCATGGTGAGTATGTTCTGAGAACTGAATTCCATTGCCTCGGGGGCCTGTCTGCTGCTGCCAATTTGCTTCTCATGGCAGAACCCTGTGTGTCAGAACCCTGACTAGGCTCTGCCGATGGTTGTTTGGAAAAGAGTCCAGCTGGAGATGAAAGGAGTTCTTCAAAGCAATGACTCCTTGGAGGCTATCACTTTAGAATTGGGAATGATTACTTATCAAAAAACGACTTCACTCTGGAATATACTACGGGCAAGAAGCTGGCCTGACCTCTCGGGTATTCTGTTGGAGTCGGCCTGAGCCGGAGAGGCCTTGATGAATTTGGAGTGATGGCAGGAAGTGAGGAACCCAGTTGAAGGTAAGAGCCCAGAAGCTACATCATAGGCGGGGACAGGAGAAAGAACTGAAAAAAGCTTCAGAAATCTGTCTGGACAATTCAGTTTGGCCCACCCCTTATCCCCCTCTTTCATTTTAAATAAACAGCTTCAAAAGGGGTGGTCCTCACAACTTTCTGCTGACTAAGGTCTCAATTTCCTTATGGTCCTCTACTAAGAGAGCCTGTGAACCCTTCAGCTCTCAGCATTTAATCAGTCAAAACTTAGTCTCTAAAGTGAAAAGACAAGCCACAGACTGAGAGAAAATATCTGCAATGCATTTGTACCTGACAAAGGATTTGCATCCTAAATATATAAAGACCTCTCAAGACTCAGTAAGAAAATAATCCGATTTAACAATAGGCAAAAGATGTGAATAGACACTTCACCAAAGAAGATACACAGATGACAAATGAACATATGAAAAGATGCTCAACATCATTAGCCATTAGAGAAATGCGAATTAAAATCACAAGGTACCTAGTATAATTATTAAAAAACAAACAAACTGACAGGATCAAGTGCTGATAATGATGCCAGAACAGGAACTGCTCGTGCAATACGGTGCAGCCACTTTGTAAAACAGTTTGCTGGTCTCTAGCGAAGTTAAACATACTCTTATCACATAAACCACCCGTTCCACTCCTAAGTATTTATCCAAGAGAAATGAAAACCTAAGTTCATTTAAGAAACGTAAAGACTGATGCACAAATGTTTACAGCAGTTCTATCCATGACCACCAAAAACTGCAAATAGCCCAAATGTTCAACTGGTGAATGGATAAACAAATCATAGTGTATGTATACAATGGAATACTACTCTGCAACAAAAAAGAACATATGATTGATATAGGCAACAGCATGCATGAATCTCAAATGTATTACGCTATGCGAAAAGAAGCCAGACTCAAGAGCTCTATATCAAGCTTATCCAACCCGTGGCCCACGCAGCCCAACGCAAATTTATAAACTTTCTTAAAATACTATGAGATGTTTTTTGAGACTTTTTTTTAAAGCTTATTAGCTATCGTTAGTGTTAGTGTAGTCTATGTGTGGCCCAAGACAATTCTTCCAATGTGGCCCAGGGAAGCCAAAAGATTGGCACCCCTGCTCTATGTACTGTATGATTTTATTTATACGTCATTCTGGAAAAAGCTAAGTTACAGAGACAGAAAACATCAGAAGTTGTCAGGGACTGGGGTTGGGAAGGGAGCTGGTTGCATGAGGGAATTTTTGGGGGTGTTGAAAATGGTCTATATCTTAATTGTAGTGATGGTTACATGAAAGTATGTGTTTCTCAAAACTGTACAACAGAGTGAATTTTAACTTATGCAAACCCGCCCATCTTGGTTGCTAAGAGTCTCTATGGCACAGGGGTAAACTGGTGGAACGCCACTCCACGCGGTGACTGGGGGAACCTGGGGATGCATGTAGAGTGTGACGGTGACTGGGGAACCTGGGGATGCATGTAGAGTGTGACGGTGACTGGGGGAACCTGGGGATGCATGTAGAGTGTGACGGTGACTGGGGAACCTGGGGATGCATGTAGAGTGTGACGGTGACGGGGGAACCTGGGGATGCATCTAGAGTGTGACGGTGACTGGGAAACCTGGGGATGCACGTAGAGTGTGATGGTGACTGGGGGAACCTGGGGATGCATGTAGAGTGTGACGGTGACTGGGAAACCTGGGGATGCACGTAGAGTGTGCGGTGACGGGGGAACCTGGGGAGGCACGTAGAGTGTGACGGTGACGGGGGAACCTGGGGATGCACGTAGAGTGTGACGGTGACTGGGGAACCTGGGGATGCATGTAGAGTGTGACGGTGACTGGGGAAACCTGGGGATGCATGTAGAGTGTGACGGTGACTGGGGAACCTGGGGATGCATATAGAGTGTGACGGTGACTGGGGGAACCTGGGGATGCATGTAGAGTGTGACGGTGACTGGGGAACCTGGGGATGCATGTAGAGTGTGACGGTGACTGGGAAACCTGAGGATGCACGTAGAGTGTGACGGTGACGGGGGAACCTGGGGATGCACGCAGAGTGTGACGGTGACTGGGAAACCTGGGGATGCATCTAGAGTGTGACGGTGACTGGGAAACCTGGGGATGCATCTAGAGTGTGACGGTGACTGGGAAACCTGGGGATGCATGTAGAGTGTGACGGTGACGGGGGGGAATCTGGGGATGCATCTAGAGTGTGACGGGGCTGAGGGAGGGCCCACTTTCACCTTGAAATTACAGACAACACTATAAAACAGACAAAGATTTATGTTGGAAAAAAAGAATTTTATGCCCTTTGTCCTTCAACTTTTTCCTTGTTGTAGAGACAATACAACCTTCTTTAGAGATTACAAAGGTATGAAATCTCAGCCTGGTATTCCTCCTCCCTTTACATGTCCTGTTTCACTTAGGCAGAGGTCTCTGTTTCTCCAAAAGAGCAAAGTGTATATTCAAGCTGAAATCAGAGGCCTAGACTAACTAGAGGCCTGCTGGCTGGAAGGGATTAATGTGCACAGAACTTAATAAAAATGAATACTGAAACTATTGTTAATAATAAACACCTGCTAACCTCTAATTAAAAAGTATAAGGACAGCATGGTGGCTGTAATCACAGCACTTTGGGAGGCCAAGGTGGGTGAACTGCTTGAGCTCAGGACTTCAAGACCAGCCTGGGCAACATGGTGAAATCTCATCTCTACAAAAAAATACAAAAATTAGCGGGGTGTGGTAGCATGTACCTGTGGTCCCAGCTACTCAGAAGCTGAGGTGGGAGGATCCCTTGAGCTCAGAAGGTTGAGGCCACAGTGAGCCACTGCATTCCAGCACTGGCAACAAAACAAGATGTTGTCTCAAAAAAAACAAAGTATACTCTGAGAAAAAAAATTTTTTTTTTTTTTTGAGATGGAGTCTCACTCCATCACCCAGGCTGGAGTGCAGTGGTGGGATCTCAGCTCACTGCAACCTCCACCTTGCTGGTTCAAGTGATTCTCCTGCCTTAGCACCCCTAGCAGCTGGGATTACTGGGATTACAGGTGTGCGCCACCATGCCCGGCTACTTTTTGTATTTTTAGTAGAGACAGGGTTTCACCATGTTGGTCAGGCTGGTCTCAAGCTCCTGACCTCAGGTGATCTGCCCGCCTCAGCTTTCCAAAGTGCTGGGATTATAGGCGTGAGCCACGGCGAATGAACCAAGAAATCTGTCATGTTTTCAGTGGGTAAGGGAAAAAACATAAAGTATCCATGTGAAAATAAAGTTTCTCTTCATGTCATTAACAATAAAATGATGAGGATAGCCACCTCCAAAGATATAGCAGATTAAATGAAAAAGTATGCCTCTTATAATGAGGTTACATGACCATAAGGAGCAAGTAGGTTCCATGGAAAAAGATGTGTGTTACAGCAGTACCCAGAAAGCTATGAAAGCAGTGAGCCTGAAGAAGAGAACACATCCCACTCCTACCATAGTGTCTGATCTCCACGCCTCTGCTTCACAACTTAGTCCTTCTAGCACTTTTTGGGTGCTTCAAGAGAGGAAGGAAATGGTACAGAAACGCAGCTTGTACATAAAGGGCACAAGCATGTAAGCATATGCACACATACAAATGCAGAGAAAAGGTCTTTTCATTTAAATGGAGGAAGCTGCCATGTCTACCTCTATAAGCAAAAGTATTAATCATCCACCGTCTGGTTTTAATCCACACGCTCCTGATCCTGCATTTGAATGTATTGTTATCAGGGGAAGAAGCATTTCTGCTCAATCTTATTCACCAGCCAAAAACCTGAAAATGTGAAAACCACATTGGTAGGGTACCTTCTTGGGGACCCAGAAAACTGAGCTGAGCTGCTCTTTTACTGTTTTCTTTACCTTTTTTTTTTTTTTTTTAAAATAATGAACAAATGTCAATTTCAGGGGCACTCAGATTAGATAGAGCTCAGGCCGGGTGCCGTGGTTCACGCCTGTAATCCCAGCACTTCGGGAAGCTGAGGTGGGCAGATCATTTGAGGTCAGGAGTTCGAGACCATCCTGGGCAACATAATGAAACTCTGTCTCTACTAAAAATACAAAAAAAATTAGCCGGGCGTGGTCAGTGGGTGCCTGTAACCCCAGCTACTCCGGAGGCTGAGGCAGGAGAATCGCTTGAACTCGGGAGGTGGAGGATGAAGTGAGCTGAGATTGCACCACTGTACTTCACCCTGGGCAACAGAGAGACACTCCTTCTCAAAAAAAAAAAAAAAAAAAAAAAAAAAAAGAGTTAAAAGCTCAAACTACAGGTCCTTCTATCTTAGAGTGACACTATCCTCAGGGAAATTAGCATCTTTTCTTCTGTTATTTCCCAAAGAGATCCAGCCACACACAACTTGACTAACATCAGCCTGTCAGATGCAAGACTGGGCACCCAGGTGCATCCCTTATGAGCATTTACAAATGAAATGCCAAGCCCAAACAGCAAGCCTTTCCCTCCTGTCTCTGTTTTGTTTTTTTTTGCTTGTTTGTTTTTTGAGACAGGGTCTTGCTGTGTAACCCAGGCTACAGTGCAGTGGCACGATCACTGCTCACTGTAGCCTCGACCTTCCAGGCTCAAGCAATCCTCCCACTTCAGCCTCCAAGTAGCTGGGACTACAAGCATGCAACGCCATGCCTGGCTAATTTTTATTTTTTTGTGGTGACAAGGTCTCACTATGTTGCCCAGACTGGTCTCGAACTTCTGGGCTCGAGCGATCCTCCCGCTTTAGCTTCCCAAAGTGCTGGGATTACAGGCATGGTGTCACCGGGTGTGTCTCCATTCTTCTAGTTCATGCTTTGCTAACAGTAAGGGAAGGGTTTAAAAAAGTGTTTGTATGTATCTCAGCATGTTTCTTCCACTGTTTGTGCTAGAGACCCTCCCTCCTCCTAAGGGTTAACCTAAAAAGGTTCCCAAAGTCCGTATGTGGGCTGAAGTACCTTCTTCAAAGCCATTAGTCACCAACCTTGCAGTCTTACTCCAGACTGCACACGGGGCCACCCATGACACAAAAACTCTGGCAAGATTAGGGGCTAGCAAGAGCAGAAGAAACCACAATATGCCTGAGACTCCCAGGAGAACAGTGACTAGTGCTGGTAGGGAACAGACTGACAGACAAAGCAGACAGACTCTAACCAGGCCTCGCTCTGTTTTCGATGCAACACAAATGTTTTCCATTAAAAGTTCCCTGCCCCACAAACACTCATACATGCAGCTATGAACTCCACATACTCAACTTCTGCTTTTCTGGCACACTGACCCAACTACCTCTCCTGTTCCTCTGGAAGAGAGCAAAGATGAGGGTAAACAGATTTTGGTACCCCTATCACAAAGGTAAGTGGAAGGGAACCACAATTAGAAGCATGCTTACTAAGTACCACCCAACATGAGTATGACTGAGCAGGCCAAAGGGAAGAAGGCAGAAAGCATGGACTTTCCTTTTGCCAAAACCAATCCTGTCTAGCTTTGGATCTTACTGTTTGGCTCTCATGCTTTCAGCTTAAAGTTAGGCTTAACTTTGTAGTAAAGTCTGCAAATGATCTTCATCAGGAGGTGTTGGTCACCAATAAAACCAAAACAGGCAAAAACCTCAGAACACTCAT